>NC_000017.11:945656-1097171 GCF_000001405.40 Homo sapiens
AGATGACAGAGTTAGATGTTAAACATCACAAAGTCGGTGGATATTAAATGTATGATTGTTTTCATATCTTTAGCCCCAAAATAATAAATGTTCAGTGGAGATGTCCAAAGCCAGGCCCAATGCCTGGGGAGCTTCCACTGCTTATCTCTCTCCTGAATCCAGAGTATTCTGCCCTTCACAGAAGTGCTGATCGTTCAGAGATAACCCACCAATCAGGTGTGCCTTTAGGGTTAGGCCAGCAAACCACAGGCTGCCAGCAAACCACAGGCTGGAAACTGGGAATGTCCTTGGGGTCCTGGGGCCTTGGCTGTTCTCACCCTTTCGGCCACAAAAAGGCTCTTTCTTGGCTGCCAGAGACCCTCCCTGGGGTAGAGAGGGAGAAGGAGAGGGAAAGGGAGAGAGAGAAAGTGAGTTGGGGGAGCTGGGTAACTAAAAGACAAGGAGTTGATGTATTCTAGGCGCTTGAAAGTTCAGAAGACTATCTCTTTTTTTTTTTTGAGATGGAGTCTCGCTCTGTTGCCCAGGCTGGAGGGCAGTGGCGCGATCCCTGCTCACTGCAAGCTCCGCCTCCCGGGGATCCCTGCTCACTGCAAGCTCCGCCTCCCGGGTTCAAGCGATTCTCCTGCCTCAGCCTCCTGAGTAGCTGGGATTACAGGCATCTGCTATCGCACCCAGCTAATTTTTGCATTTTTAGTAGAGATGGGGTTTCACCATGTTGGCCAGGATGGTCTTGATCTCTTGACCTCGTGATCCGCCCGCCTAGGCCTCCCAAAGTGCTGGGATAACAGGCGTGAGCCACCACACCCGGCCAAAGGCTGTCTCTTCTAATTACTGAGGTTTTAGAACCATTTTCCTCAACTCTCCCTCTTGCAAGAGTCCGTAGTGGGTGTGCTCAAGACCTGAGCTTGAGTTATCATGCCCACTAACGCCCTGGCTGAGAAGTTCCCACCAAAAGACAGCGGTGACATTTGCTTCCCAAAAGTCCCAAAACCACGCTCCCCGTTAGCCTCGGCGCCTCACAGGGAAAAAGAATCGGCTCTGGAGGGACGACCCCCCGCAGCGGGCGACTGTACCGCTGACGGGCTCGGCCAGCACATCTCCGCATCGCTGGGCCTCAGTGTCCTCACCTGGAAAATGGGGGTGATCACGCCAACGTCACAGAGTCCTTGGGAGAATGAAATGAGGCAATGCCTAGAAGGTGTCTCCACTGCAGTCCCTGGCACGGGGAGGTTGCAGCCTTCTGTGGCAGCCTTGGCTGGTTATCACGCAGTTCACAGCTTCAGGGCCAGAGCACAGATCCTGGTTCAGCCACGTATCAGCAGCACAACCGGGAAAGCCAGTCGGCCCCACGGTGCGTCCTCCAGGGGCCGCATGAGGAGAGACGATACACGCCAGCACTCAGGGCCCAGCACGGGCCCCCCACTCAGTGAAAAGCATCCTCTCACTCTTAGGCTTGTCATGATCATGCACCGGCAGCGTCCCCCTCGGTTACGAACCCCATTCTAGATGACAAAGCACTAGTAACCCACGTACAGTAGTGGCTGAAAAACCGTCACAGGAATCATCCTCAGGGCCTTCGAGGTCACAAGCGTGACGGGGACGCGCAGGTGCTGATGTGAGATGGACTCTGTATGTGAATGAGGCTAAAAGACTCACTTTCCTAAATATTATGGGCAGACATAATGGGGCTACACAGGCATTGAGCTGATTTTACACAGTTATGGACAATGGGCCCTCTGTACCCACAGGTTCTACATCCACGGATTCGACTAACCCCAAATCAAAAATATTCAGGGCTCGGCGTGGTGGCTCACACCTGTAATCCCAGCAATGCAGGAGGCCGAGGTGGGCGGATCACTTGAGGCCAGGAGTTCGAGACCAGCCTGGCCAACAAGGTGAAACCCCATCTCAACTAAAAATACAAAAATTAGCCGGGAGTGGTGGCACGTGCCTGTAATCCAAGCCACTCGGGAGGCTGAGGCAGGGGAACTGCTTGAACGCAGGAGGCAGGGGTTGCAGTGAGCCGAGATCCTGCCACTGCACTCCGGCCTGGGCAACAGGGTGAGGCTCCCTCTCAAAAAAAAAAAAAAAAAAAAAAGGGCCAGGCATGGTGGCTCACGCCTGTAATCCTAGCACTTTGGGAGGCCGAGGCGAGCTGACTGTCTTGAGCTCAGGAGTTTGAGACCAGTCTGGGCAACACGGTGAAACTCCGTCTCTACTGAAATACAAAAAAAAAAAAAAAAAATTAGCTGGATGTGGCAGCGTGCGCCTGTACTCCCAGCTACTCGGGAGGCTGAGGCAGGAGAATTGCTTAAACCCGGGAGGCGGAGGTTGCAGTGAGCAGAGATGGCACCACAGCACTCCAGCCTGGGTGACAGAGACTCTCTCTCAAAAACAAAACAAAACAAAAAAATCAGTAAAAAGAATTTTTTAAAAAAATGTAAAAATACAAATAAAAAATAAAATACAACACAGCATAACGACTATTTACATAGCAATGTATTAGATGTATTAGGTATTACTCATAATACATTGTATTAGGAATTATAAGTAATCTAGAGGTAATTTACAGTACACAGGATTACCCCATTTACCCTGGTGTGATGATCACACGTTGTATGCCTGTATCAAAATATCTCACGTCCACCATAAATATGTACACCATAAAAATTAAACAATAAAGAAAGAAAACAAAGGAAACAAAACAGAAAAAAAAGAAGAAAATAATAAAGTAAATTGGAGATGTACACGGGTTATATGTAAATGCTATTTTATATCAGCAACTTTGGCATCACGGGATCTGGGTACTGAGGGGTAGGAGCGGCCCTGGGACCACCTGCCCACAGGCACTGAGGGACGGCTGTGGAACTGTACAGGGCCCGGCCCTGCGCTGGGGACCTAGCGGTGAACAAGCAGCCTGGGAAAGGAATGTTTAAAAGCTCCCGGGCGACTGAAGATCAGCCAGGGGTGAAAACCATCACTCGGTGCTTCACGGAACAAACGCTTGAGGCAAAACCTAAGACAGCTGGGTCCCAACGCGGGGCCTCACCCCGGCCCGTCCCGCCCCAGCGCTCGGAGGCTGAGAGCAGCATTCTCAGATGGTACTAAATCCACATCCCGGGACACGAGGAAACAGCAGGGCCAGGGCACGGCCTCCTCCTCTCCCCGCGGCCTCCTCCTCTCCCCCCTGCCTCCTCCTCTCCCCGCGGCCTCCTCCTCTCCCCCTGCCTCCTCCTCTCCCCCCTGCCTCCTCCTCTCCCCCCTGCCTCCTCCTCTCCCCCCTGCCTCCTCCTCTCCCCCCTGCCTCCTCCTCTCCCCGCGGGCTCCTCCTCTCCCCCCGGGCTCCTCCTCTCCCCCCGGGCTCCTCCTCTCCCCCCTGCCTCCTCCTCTCCCCCTGCCTCCTCCTCTCCCCGCGGCCTCCTCCTCTCCCCCCGGCCTCCTCCTCTCCCCGTGGCCTCCTCCTCTCCCCCCTGCCTCCTCCTCTCCCCGCTGCCTCCTCCTCTCCCCGCGGCCTCCTCCTCTCCCCGCGGCCTCCTCCTCTCCCCCCTGCCTCCTCCTCTCCCCGCTGCCTCCTCCTCTCCCCGCGGCCTCCTCCTCTCCCCGCGGCCTCCTCCTCTCCCCCCTGCCTCCTCCTCTCCCCGCTGCCTCCTCCTCTCCCCGCGGCCTCCTCCTCTCCCCGCGGCCTCCTCCTCTCCCCCCTGCCTCCTCCTCTCCCCGCTGCCTCCTCCTCTCCCCGCGGCCTCCTCCTCTCCCCGTGGCCTCCTCCTCTCCCCCCTGCCTCCTCCTCTCCCCGCTGCCTCCTCCTCTCCCCGCGGCCTCCTCCTCTCCCCGCTGCCTCCTCCTCTCCCCCCTGCCTCCTCCTCTCCCCGCGGCCTCCTCCTCTCCCCCCTGCCTCCTCCTCTCCCCGCTGCCTCCTCCTCTCCCCGCGGCCTCCTCCTCTCCCCCCTGCCTCCTCCTCTCCCCGCGGCCTCCTCCTCTCCCCCCTGCCTCCTCCTCTCCCCGTTGCCTCCTCCTCTCCCCGTGGCCTCCTCCTCTCCCCCCTGCCTCCTCCTCTCCCTGCTGCCTCCTCCTCTCCCCGCGGGCCTCCTCTGTTAGGACCCACCTCCCTGCCTCAGTCTGGAAAGGGGCAGCCACGTGAGGACCTCTGAGACCCTGGAGAGCCACTGGGCTCAGCCTGGAGCAGTGGGGGCTGGGGTGGGAAGACGCCATGCATTGTTCAGCCCCAGCATCTGCCTGGGCACCTTCTGGTAACAGTCATTTGGCCAGCAGCTTCTCGGGGGCTAACGGTCAATGCCAGAAGCAATTAGCCCCAGGTCCTGGTCCTCCTTGGAGCCAAAACAATTAGTAGGCTGAAGACAGCCTGATGCTTAAGAAATCACTTTTTTAAAAAGGAAAAAAAGATTGCTTAAAAGAAGCCCCTTAACTCTGAAGGCAGTTCCATCCACCTTACAAATTCGGTGCCCTGTGAATACACATCCATGGGTCACAGCAGGGAATCTTTTTAACTAGAAAAAGAGCAGGAGAAGGAATTCAGATCAACATCACGGACTGCAGCAGTAAAGCTGGTGCCTGTTCGCCCCTTTCCCCTCCAGGCAGGAAAGAATCAAGGAAGAATTTCAGAATCTTTTTATACAAGAAAGGGATTCGGTGGGGGAAGGGAGTGGGTACAGAGATGAAGAACTTTAGGGTTTGCTATTTCAAGCTTAAAATAAATCCCAACGAGAAAGGATCCGAAGGCTTGGTTTTATTTTTAAGATCTTATCCAAGGCAGGGAACTATATCTGGTTTTCAGGGGTGTGTGGGGTGCAAACGGCCGGGCCAGCACAGTCATTTCATCCCCTGTCGATTCCCCAAAAGCAAAACCAAAGCTCAGCATGTGCTTCTAGAACTTTCTATATCTGGTGTTCAGGGGTGGGTGGGGTGCAAACGGCCAGGCCAGCACAGTCATTTCATCCCCCGTCCGTTCCCCAAAAGCAAAGCCAGAGCTCGGCATGTGCTTCTAGAATTTTACAATCTTGAATTACGGCTTCAAAATAACTCACATTCCACTATAAGGAGGCTCAGAGGATGCCACCGAGTGGACGGACGTGAGCAGGACCACAGAGACAACCCAGTGGGACACGCAACACTGTTCCCAAGATGTTAGCAGGGGAAAGAGTCGGACGAAATGGCGAAGTGTTTGGCACAAAGAAGACCAACAAATGACACACCAAGCCAGTAAAGACACCTCCGTAAGAAAGACACATTCCTCCCCAAATCTACTTTAGGAGCTACTGCTGTCAACTCTTGACTTTCTGGAAGTCTAACTAGTACAAGGTCCAATCCTCAATCGCTTATGAAACAAAATCAGAAAAAACCGGGTAGAACCCTAGTACTCCGCATTATAAAAAGCACTTCCGGCCGGGCACGGTGGCTCACGCCTGTAATCCCAGCACTTTGGGAGGCCGAGGCTGGCAGATCTTTTGAGGTTAGAAGTTCGAAACCAGCCTGGCCAACATGGTGAAACCCTGTCTCTACTTAAAAAAAAAAAAAAAAAAAAAAAAAAAAGCTGGGCGTGGTAGCGGGCGCCTGTAAGCCCAGCTACTTGGGAGGCTGAGGCACGAGAATTGCTTGAACCCGGGAGACAGAGGTTGCAGTGAGTTGAGATCACACCACTGCACTCCAACCTGAGTGACAGAGTGAGACTCCATCTCGAAAAAAAAAAAAAAGACTGAACAGCTTCTCTTTAGAACTTTCTAACACACCCCCAGGTGGAGGCCAGTGTTGCAACGATCGCACGAGGGACCAGAGGGTAATTCTGCAGCCTGATCTCTCTGTTGAGATGCTCACGCTCTCTTTTTGCAGACATGATGTGGTTAAAGCCAGGGTCTTTCTCAATCAATACATTTTAAAAATGCGAGCTGGGGGCGGGGGCGGGGGTTGGGGGCGGGAGGGTCTGTCAGCTGTGTGGAGACAAACCTCCTGATCCAGGCGCTCTCTGGCAGAGGCGGGCAAGCCCCACTTCCATGTATGGAAGTGAATGAAAGCAGTAAAACCTCAGGCATGAGTCTGGGCAGGGCTGGGGGTGGGGGCCGGCATTCCTCCCAGCAGGGCCAGCCCCAGAGGGGCGGGCAGCAGGAACCTTCACCTGGGGTCCCGTGGGTATTTCCCTGGGAGAGCCACAGGGGCAGAGAGGACGGGAGGCAGGAAAGCAATGAGCTCGGCACACTCAGTAGACGGAGGGCACCCGGGAAGGGGAGCTCAGCCTCCCCGAGAATGCACCAGAGCCTGAGTCCTGGAAACCAGGGCCACGCAGCTCCCGCCTGCCCTGACCTCAGTCCCCTGGAATGCAGAATTCTCCACGGTCAGCCATCCATCACCACCGCTCCCTCATGGCCAGCGCTGAAAGAAGGGGCGTTTCCGTTTTTGTGGGGGGCGGTGGTGGTTGTGGTTTTTGTGGTCTGAGAAACTCATGACAGTTACCCACCTCCTGCCAGGACAAGGCCACAGGAGGTTGCAGAAAATTCAGGTCACACTGTGGGGGGGCTGGGGTCAGAGAGACCAAGGTTGGAACCCGGCAGGTACCACGGACGGTCACACTGTGGGGGGGCTGGGGTCAGACAGACCAAGGTTGGAACCCGGCAGGTACCACGGACGGTCACACTGTGGGGGGGCTGGGGTCAGACAGACCAAGGTTGGAACCCGGCAGGTACCACGGACGGTCACACTGTGGGGGGGCTGGGGTCAGACAGACCAAGGTTGGAACCCGGCAGGTACCACGGACGGTCACACTGTGGGGGGGCTGGGGTCAGACAGACCAAGGTTGGAACCCGGCAGGTACCACGGACGGTCACACTGTGGGGGGGCTGGGGTCAGACAGACCAAGGTTGGAACCCGGCAGGTACCACGGACGGTCACACTGTGGGGGGGCTGGAGTCAGAGAGACCAAGGTTGGAACCCGGCAGGTACCACGGACGGTCACACTGTGGGGGGGCTGGGGTCAGACAGACCAAGGTTGGAACCCGGCAGGTACCACGGACGGTCACACTGTGGGGGGGCTGGAGTCAGACAGACCAAGGTTGGAACCCGGCAGGTACCACGGACGGTCACACTGTGGGGGGGGCTGGAGTCAGACAGACCAAGGTTGGAACCCGGCAGGTACCACGGACGGTCACACTGTGGGGGGGCTGGAGTCAGACAGACCAAGGTTGGAACCCGGCAGGTACCACGGACGACAGGTTCCTGCTGCCCATCCCTCTGGGAGGAATGACGGCCAGCAGAGCCAGGACCCACTTCTCCGTCCTGGAAGACGCAATGAGATAATACATGAAAAGCAGTAACAAGGTGGTCCTAGAGGGGTCCTAGGCTACCCCGTGTTAAAGATGAGAGCCATGAAGACCACTTCAAGGTGGTCCCTGGAATCCAGTGAGGGGCTCAGTCCACAGAAGCCATGACTGATGATCATTATCATGGAACCCTCCAGCTCAGGGAATGTCTGAGTAGCTCCCTGAAGTCCAAACGGAAGACTATGACCCTTGGGAGGCCGAGGCGGGCGGATCACCTGAGGTCAGGAGTTTGAGACCAGCCTGGCCAACATGGTGAAACCCCATCTCTACCAAAAATAGAAAAATTAGCCAGGCATGGTGGCTCACGCCTGTAATCCCAGCTACTTGGGAGGCTGAGGCAGGAGAATCGCTTGAACCCAGGAGGCGGAGGTTGCAGTGAGCTGAGATCGCGCCACTGCACTCCAGCCTGGGAGACAGAGCGAGACTCCGTCTCAAAAAAAGAAAAGACTATGACCCCCCTCCCACCACAAGCAGGACGAGGCACCTCGGATGCCCCACACCCCCTGTCCCTGAGGACGAACTCTAAGGAACAGGAGAAACATTTTTATAACTTCCTCGCGCCCAGCATAAACCTGTTAGGATTCTCCAGCCAGGCCCAACCTTATAAACCTATGTCAAGTTCAAACTATACTCTCAACAGTTGTACTTATCACTCCACAGAGAATTCACACTCCCTTCTCTAAGGAGTCCAGAGTGAGACAGAGGCTCGTATCTGTCATCCCAGAACTTGGATTGCTTGAGCCCAGGAGTTCAAGACCAGCCTGGGCAACATAGTGAGACCCCCATCTCTAACAAAAATTTAAAAATTATCTGGGCGTGGTGACACGCGCCTGTAGTCCCAGCTACTCAGGAGGCTGGGGTGGGAGGATTGCTTGAGCCCAGAGGTTGAGGCTGCAGTGGGCCATGACCGTGCCACTGCACCCCAGCCTGCGTGACGGGTGCGGGAGGATGATGGTGCATGCACGTGGTCGTGTGGCTCCGTGCTGCGGCTCCTCTCTGTCTAGCAAAGTGCAACTCTCAACTCCAAGGAGACCTATGCTGGGTTTCACAAAGTACTTGAAAGCACACCAAGATGATTCTTGAATAACTGGCATTAGACACGATTCTCACTCCTGGCCAGGCGCCGTGGCTCATGCCTGTCATCCAAGCACTTTGGGAGGCCGAGGTGGGCGGATCACCTGAGGTCAGGAGTTCGAGACCAGCCTGGCCAACATGGTGAACTTCCATCTCTACTAAAAATACAAAAAAACTTAGCCAGGTGTGGTGGTGCACGTCTGTAGTCCCAGCTACTCAAGAGGCTGAAGCAGGAGAATCCCTTGAATCTTGAAGGTGGAGGTTGCAGTGAGCCGAGATCGCACCATTGCACTCCAGCCTTGGTGACAGAGCAAGACTCCATCTCCAAAAAAAAGAAACGCTTCCCGCTCCTAAGTTTTGGGATACCTAAATTCTCTCTCGAGTCAAGTGGCAGGTCTGACCCGGCAGCCTCCCTTCCAAATTCTCCAGGCTCAGGGCAAGCACGTGTCCGGGGCTGTCCTGCACCAACTTTTTGTTTTTCTCCTACTCAGGCATATTCGACCTCCCTGCTCAGGTTCCAGTGACTTCCTCAGAGCAACAGGGCTGATTCCCACGACCCCAGGCCCCAGGGCCGAGTGCCAGGTGCTCAGGTCGCAGCTGTCCCTCAACACCACTCGGGAAGGGGGCTAACTGCCCGGACGGGCCCCAGGATCACGAGCCTCCTCTCCTTCCCTGATGGCCCAACAGGAAAAAGTACTGTGGCTGCCAAGCCATCTGGATGGAATGGAATGGCTCTCTACCAGTTAGGGGCCGCATCGGCCTAGACTCCCAGATTGAAGCACCTGACCTTCTGTAAATTCCTTTCTTTACATTGCACATATTTCAGCGCTGGTATTCCCCCTCTTAAGAGCTCTGAGCTGTTGTCCAGTGAGGTAACATGTTTGTTTTTTCAGCCCTGGGTTACAGCCACTCGAGGCTTTCCACATAGGAGGTCTGCCCCGCGTCCCGGGCCTGACCCCAGCCCTTCCACAGGAAAACAACTCTGCTGTCAGGAATGAGCCCCCGCGACGGGGAGAGTGGTCTTTTCTAGAGGCTGGGATATGTAAACTCACACGGGAAAGATGGGCCTGTGGTATTTCCCTCTTTTCCAGCATGCTCATCTCTTTCTTTTTTTTTTTTTTTTTTTTCCTGAGACAGAGTCTCGCTCTGTCACCCAGGCTGGAGTGCAGTGCTATGTTCTCAGCTCACTGCAACCTCCGCCTCCCGGGTTCAAGCGATTCTCCTGCCTCAGCCTCCCGAGTAGCTGGGATTACAGGCATGCGCCACCACACCCTGCTAATTTTTTATTTTTTTTAGTAGAGATGGGGTTTCACCATCTTGGCCAGGCTGGTCTCGAACTCCTGACCTCAGGTGATCCACCCGCCTCGGCCTCCCGAAGTGCTGGGATTACAGGCATGAGACACTGTGCCTGGCCTCATCTCTTCTCTAAGAGCAAAACTTGGCAAAGTCTGACAGACACTGGTTGGACTTCTTTTAAAGGCTACCAGGAAAACTGCCAAGAAATATGACTGGCCCAGCCAGACGCGGTGGCTCACGCCTGTAATCCCAGCACCTCGGGAGGCCGGACGCGGTGGCTCACGCCTGTAATCCCAGCACCTCGGGAGGCCGAGGCGGGCGGATCACAAGGTCAGGAGATTGAGACCATCCTGGCTAACACGGTGAAACCCTGTCTCTACTAAAAAAAAATACAAAAAAAATTAGCCGGGCGTGGTGGCGGGCGCCTGTAGTCCCAGCAACTCGGGAGGCTGAGGCAGGAGAATGGCGTGAACCCGGGAGGCGGAGCTTGCAGTGAGCCGAGATTGTGCCACTGCACTCCAGCCTGGGCGACAGAGCGAGACTCCATCTCAAAAAAAAAAAAGAGAGAGAGAGAGAAATATGACTGGCCCAGCCATACAGAGGCTGAGAATCTGGAGGCTGGTCTGCCATCTGACCGCCTCCTCCCTGAGCCTCAGTTTCCCTGCCTGTCAAAGAAGACTGTGGCCACATAATCCCCCTGTCCTTTCCAGGGTATCATTCAGTGACTGCATTGTTCAATATTTTGAAATAAGGGCATTTAATTATGATGACAGCACCAATAAACACTGAGACTCACCTTTCTGCTTGGAATTCCAAACCTCTTCCCACCGGAATCCCGCCAAGCCTTCAACTCTCCATCCAAACCATTCATTCTTTCTTTCAATAAACACGGTGCCAAGTATTTACTAATAAGAGGTGTCGAACGTGTTAAGTAAGAAGGACACAAGGAGGAAAGACAGTTTCTCTGCCCTCAGGAAACCATCGGGTCTCGTGGAACAGAACAGTGGTCACCGTCTTCTGGCCTTTTCCTCTGTGCCCAGCACTATGTTCAGGGCTTTTTATTTTTATTTATTTATTTTGAGACAGAGATTCTCTCTTGTCACCCAGGCTGGAGTGCAACGGCACAACCTCAGCTCACTGCAACCTCCACCTCCCGGGTTCCCGCCATTCTCCTGCCTCAGCCTCCCAAGTAGCTGGGACTACAGGCGCCCGCCACCACGTCCGGCTAATTTTTTGTATTTTTAGTAGCAATGGGGTTTCACCGTGTTAGCCAGGATGGTCTCGATCTCCAGACCTCAGGTGATCCGTCCACCTCAGCCTCCCAAAGTGCTGGGATTACAGGCGTGAGCCACCGCGCCTGGCCAAGAGCTTTTTATATCAGTCATCGTCTTAAACCTCCACCGCAACCTGACAAGGTGGACGCTGCTATCGTTCCCACTTTACAGATGAGGAAGTGGGGTTAAAGTAACTTGCCCAAGATCTCAAAGCTGGAGAGCGGGAAAGATGGATCAGAACCAGGTCATCCAGGAGAGAGGCTGGCCCCTCCGTTCTCAGAGCTCCTGCGGGCAACTCCAGCCCTTTTAGAACCAATACCATGGTCATCACCCAGAAAAAACTCTAAATTTATAGGTATATATATTTCATGCCTTATCTCCCCAGCTTAATTATAAACGCCTTTGAAAGCTGGGACTGAGTCATTTATTTCTCTGCATCCTGACACTGCCTGAGGCCAGTGAGATGCTCAGAAAACATGTGACCAGCAGGGGCCTGGCGGAGCTGAGACAAGGCAACAACGTGCAAAGGTGATTTGTGTAATATGAGCACATACGATGAAAACATCTGGCTTGAGAGCGTCCTCATCCCTGTCACCACCCCCCTCCCCCAACACTACGCCGTGTGGAAAACACCTAGAGGAACTTCCTCTACTTCACACACAGAAGCCAGGAACCCCCCGGGATCTTCTCTGCACTCTAAGGAAGCTGATAGAAAATGCATTTCTGGGCCGGGCGCAGGGGCTCACTTCGGCCATCCCAGCACTTTGGGAGGCCAAAGCGGGTGGATCATGAGGTCAGGAGTTCAAGACCAGCCTGGCCAAGATGGCGAAACACCGTCTCTACTAAAAATACAAAAATTACCTGAGCGTGGTGGTGCACGCCTGTAGTCCCAGCTACTCGGGAGGCTGAGGCAGGAGAACTGCTTGAACACGGGAGGTGTAGGTTGCAGTGAGCCAAGATCAAGCCACTGCACTCCAGCCTGGGCGACAGAGCAAGACTCCATCTCAAAAAAAAAAAAAAGCATTTCTGCAACCCGGCCCAGCAGAAGGTTCTTTGGTTTGAGTGTGGCCTCCTTGGTCAAAAGCACCTGTCTCCTATCCCGTCAAGGAGGTCAAACCTCCTTGGTACAAAAAGCACCTGTTTCCTGTCCTGTGGCATGTCTGGAACCCAGACTCTCTTTCTCAGTCCAAGCCCAGACCCGAGAGAGGCAGCTCTCACCTTGCAAACAGACCCCCGCAGTCAGCTTCTCAGTCTTCACACAGAAATCACACCTCCACGTCAGCATCGCCCAGAATGTATGTTCCTGGGGCTCTGCCAAGGGAACCTCTGTTTTCCTCACAGAACGTGAAAATGTTTCCACGGAGCACGGGCAGCCCCCATCACTCATCAGGTTCCAAACATGCATCCTCTCGCTCCATCCTATACTTAGGCGCCTCGGCAGGATCAAATGAACCCTCTCCGTCTCAACTTTCCCCTTCCTTCCCACACGGCTATTTATATCTGGAATATCTCTCTGTCTTAATCCACTGGACTACCCTCCCCCTCGTTTGAAAAGGTCACTTGCACATTCTTCTTTCCAGAAGGCTTTTCTTGCAGGAGGTGGCTGCCAGCTTGTCCCTTCCCCGGTGCCTCTGCCCAACAAGACATGACGGTGAGCAAGGTTACTCATCTTCCGAAAATGCTAACGTGCTGACTGGGGCTAACCCTACGCTAAAGCAAAGCCTTCAAAAACTGGAAGCAGCAGGGCGCGGTGGCTCGCACCTGTCATCCCAGTGCCTGGGAAGGCTGAAACAGGAGGATCGCTTGAGGCCAGGCGTTCAAAACCAGCCCGGGCAACATAGCAGGACTCCAACTCTACAAAAATTAATCTTAAAAATTAGCTCACTCCTATCATCCCAGCACTTTGGGAGGCCGAAGCGGGTGGATCACGAGGTCAGGAGTTCGAGACCAGCCTGGCCAACATGGTGAAACCCCATCTGTACTAAAAATACAAAAATTAGCCAGGCGTGGTGGCGTGCGCCTGTAGTCCCAGCTACTCAGGAGGCTGAGGCAGGAGAATCACCGAGGCGGAGGTAGAAGTGAGCCCAGATTGTGCCACTGAACTCCAGCACAGGCGACAGAGCGAGACTCCCTCTCAAAAAATAAAATAAAATAAAAATTAGCTGGGGAGGTGGTGAGCTCCTGTAGTCTCAGCTTCTCAGGGGGCTGAGGTGGGAGGATCGCTTGAGCCCAGGAGGTCAGGGCTGCAGTGAGTCATGATCACACTACTGTGCTCCAGCCTGGGTGACAGCCTGAGACTTGTCTTTAAAAAAGAAACACACACACACACATACACACACACACACACGATACGAGTTCTTTCATCTTGCAAGAAAGAATCATGCGGATGTGCGCGGAGCCGAGGGACCATGGTGGCCGCGGTGTGGTCACTGATGAGGTTCCTCATCACGGGCGGTGTGGCTGGAGGCGCGTCGACCTGATGTATGGCCAGGAGCTGCTGGGGCCCAGCAACAAGAGCCGAGCGCCCCTACGGAAGGCTGGAGAGGTGGTTCCCCGCCACGTACCAGTTCAGCCAGTACGTGTGTCAGCAGACAGGCCTGCAGATACCCCAGCTCCCAGCCCCTCCAAAGCCTTCCTTTCCCCTCCATGACTCCTGGAATGCAGGTATCATCACAGCTCTGTAGGCCCCTCCCAGGCCCGCGACACTCCAAGGAGGGCTGGGAGTACGTGGAGTCGCGCAGAGGCTGCCTGCCCCGGCCAGAGCGGGAGAACGGGCAGGGCGCCACTGGCCTGAGGACTCCAGACTGGGACCCCACTCCCAGGGAAGCTCCCAGCCTCACCGGCCCAATAAAGGACTTCAGAAGTGAGAAAAAAAAAAAAGGTGAAATAGGCCAGGCGCAGTGGCTCACACCTGTAATCCCAGCACTTTCGGAGGCTGAGGCGGGCAGATTACTTGAGGTCAGGAGTTCAAGACCAGCCTGGCCAACATGGTGAACCCCTTTCTACTAAAATACAAAAATTAGTTAGGTGTGGTGGCAGGCGCCTGTGATCCCAGCTACTCCAGAGGTTGAGGCAGGAGAATCATTTAAACCCGGGAGGTGAAGGTTGCAGTGATCTTAGATCGCGCCACCACACTCCAGCCTGGGGAACAAGAGCGAGACTCTGTATAAAAAAAAAAAAAACAGGGCTGGGTGTGGTGGCTCATGCCTGTAATCCCAGCACTTTGGGAGGCTGAGGCGGGTGGATTACTTGAGGTCAGGAGTTCCAGACCAGCCGGGCCAACACAATGAAACCCTGTCTCTACTAAAAATACAAAATTAGCTGGGCATGGTGGCAGGTGCCTGTAATCACAGCTACTCGGGACACTGAGGCAGGAGAATCGCTTGAACCCGGGGGGCAGAGGTTGCGGTCAGCCGAGATTGCACCACTGCACTCCAGCCTGGGAGACAGAGCGAGACTCCATCTTTAAAAAAAAAATGGAATAATCAAGTGATTACATTTGGAACATGTGGGAATCAGAAACCCACCACCCACGGAGGCCACCACCTAACACAACAGTAAGCAATGGGGGTATTTACTTCAATCTTCCTTTTTATGTATCTGTTTAATACAGTGCCATCTATAATCATGGTATCATGTATAATTTGGGATCTCGCTTTTCTGAATGCAGTATGTGAAGTATAGGTCTACAGCTCTATATTCCAGCAAAAACTTTTAACCGCCAACCCTTTTTTTTGTGACAGGGTCTCCTTCTGTCACTCAGGCTGGGGTGCAGTGGCAGGATCACGGCTCACTGCAGCCTCAACCTCCCAGGCTCAAGTGATCCTCCTGCCTCAGCCTCCTGAATAGCTGGGACTACAGGTGTGCACCAACATGCAGGGCCAATTTTTTAAGTTTTTGGAGAGACAGGATCTCCCCATGTTGTCCAGGCTGGACACAAGTCCCTGGGCTCAAGCGATGCTTCCACCTCAGCATCCTGAGTAGCTGAACTACAGGCACACACCACCATGCCTGGCTAATCATTTTATTTTTAGCAGAAACAAGGTCTTGCTATATTGCCCAGGCTGGCCTCAAACTCCTGGGCTCGAGTGATCCTCTCACCTTGGCCTCCCAAAGCACTGGGATTACAGGTGTGAGCCACCACGCCTGGCCAATTAACTCGATTTTTTTTTTTTTTTGAGATGGTGTCTCGCTCTGCCACCCAGGCTGGAGTGCAGTGGCGCAATCTCGGCTCACTGCAAGCTCCGCCTCCCAGGTTCAAGTGATTCTCCTGCCTCAGCTCCTGAGTAGCTGGGACTACAGGCACCCGCCACCACGCCCGGCTAATTTTTTCTATTTTTAGTAGAGACGGGGTTTCACCGTGTTCGCCAGGATAGTCTCGATCTCCTGACCTCGTGATCTGCCTGCCTCGGCCTCCCAAAGTGCTGGGATTACAGCCGTGAGCCACCGTGCCTGGCCAATTAACTCGATTTTTAATAGCTATTCAGGCTGGGCACAGTGGCTCATGCCTGTAATCCCAGCACTTTGGGAGGCTGAGGCAGGCGGATCACCTGAGGTCAGAAGTTCCTGACCAGCCTGGCCAACACGACAAAAGCCCTTCTCTGCTAAAAATACAAAAATTAGCCGGGTGTGGTGGCGCGTGCCTGCCACTTGGGAGGCTGAGGCGGGAGAATCGCTTGAACCCGGGAGGCAGAGGTTGCAGTGAGCCGAGATCATGCCATTGCACTCCAGCCTGGGCGACAGAGTGAGACTCCGTCTCAAGAAAAAAAAAAAAGAAAAAGAAATAGCTGTTCAACAAGACAGTAAGTATTGTAATTTACTTAACCCTTCCATGATTGTTAACATTCAGAGGATTTCCAGGGTCTCACTAGGATATACAGCTGTAAGGAATCTCTTCAGGAGGGCAAGGTAAAATGAGGTAAGCATCTTAACAGTTTTGTCCTAACCTACAGGATGTACATTTCATCTGCATTTATGACTAATTCAGATCATATTCTCACTTCTAAACTGACATTAATTCCCCTTCCCTTCTTAAATCAAGTCCTCCCTTAGGGCTCACTGAATCTTTGAAAAGTTTGCCTTTCATAATTTCTACTATCTATTTATTTAATTAACATTCCCATAGCAACCCTTTGACTTTTCTTAAGCAACTTGCTTACATGAACCTGCAACCAAATGAATTATAAATTTTCTCAGTGGCCTCATAAAGAAGAAAATAAGGAACATTAGCTGGGTGCAGTGGCTCACACCTGTAATCCCAACACTTTGCCAGGTGGAGGCGGGTGGATCACCTGAGGTCAGGAGTTCAAGACCTTCCTGACCAACATGGTGAAACCTCGTTTCTACCAAGAACACAAAAATTAGCCAGGCGTGGTGGCGCGTGCCTGTAATCCCAGCTACTCAGGAGGCTGAGGCAGGAGAATCACTTGAACCCGGGAGGTGGAGCTGCAGTGAGCCGAGATCGCGCCACTGCACTCCAGCCTGGGCAACAAAGTGAGATTCTGTCTCAAGAAAAGAAGAAAAGAAGGAACATTCAGGAAAACGGGGGAGAGTTGTGTGTAATAGTAGGTGAGAAGACTTTTGACATCATATTTGTACACTTTTCTCAAAGCAATAGATACATTCCTGAGACACTGCAGGTGAATTTTCCTAAGCAGAGGCAATCACAGGTTGAACACCTCTTAGGAGCTCACAATCTGAAACAACTAGGCATATTGCCTAACAAAACGAAGGTCCTTCTGTGATAAAAAGAGGATTCCCAGCCGGGCACGGTGACTCACGCCTGTAATCCCAAGACTTTGGGAGGTGGAAGCAGGTGGATCACTTGAGTCCAGGAGTTCGAGACCAGCCTGGACAACACGGTAAAACCCCGTCTCTACCAAAAATACAAAAATTAGCCAGTCTCATAACCCCATCTCAAAATAAATAAATAAATATTAGATTTTAAAAATGTGAATTGTCCCTGAATTTATCTATTTCATAACTTTGGATTTAAGGTGAGGTGGGTTTTTAAAAATACAGCAACCTTCAGTAAGTAAAAAAATCTATATTAAATACAAGTTGCCTAATACTAGTCCCCCACAAAAGCCACAGCATAATAGAAGTGCCCGGCACGGAGAAGGCTTTTGTCCCCATATACATCTGAATGCGCTTGGAAGCGGAGACTGATGGCCTCAGAGAATGAGCCTCTCAGCTTATCCAAACGGCAGAGCCCAGCGGCGGGAGTTTCACAGACACCATCTTCTCACTGCTTTCCATCAGTCCTAGAGGGGCCCCTCTCTAAGGACGGGGAAGCGGCTTTCAAAGGCCTCCTTTCGCCTGTTGTACACAGGGAGCACATCAGCCTGAGACATTTCCCATCTAAGGAGAGCGGTGGTTTGAGGGATTCTGTTCCTTGTCTCTAACTGTGTTGGGTTCATTATCAAGGCAGAAATCATACAAGGTTATCAGACAGGCACACACTGACACTTTTAGCCTCTACCCACCTGAGACAGAAAAAGCAGCACCTGTCAGGTTAGCCGAGGATATAACCAAGACCCATTTAAAAGGCTTGATTTAAAAAAAAAAAAAGGTATAGGTACTGGGACGGACACACACACACACACACACACACACCCCTTTCATTTTATTTGAAATTTTTTTTTTAACATACTGCCCTTCCAGAAAATAACAGTTAATTTAAAATGCTATATCCGGGCTAGGCGCAGTGGCTCACGTATGTAATCCCAGCACATTGGGAGGCCAAGGCAGGTGGATCGCTTGAGGCCAGGAGTTCGAGACCAGCTTGGGCAAAATAGTGAAACCCTCCTCTACAAAAAATAAAAACATCAGTCCGGTGTGGTGGGACACACCTGCAGTTCCCACTACTCAGGGGGCTGAGGTGGGAGGATCGCTTGAAACCAGGTGGCGGAGGTTGCAGTGAGCCAAGATCGCACCACTGCACTCCACCCTGGGTGACAGAACAAGACTCTGTCTCAGGGAAAAAAGGACAAAAAGGAAATTTTTTTTTTTAAAATGCTAAATTGATTTGCGCAAAAAACCATTTAAGCATATGTATTTTCATATGCAGTATATGCCTATTCTTTTTCTGGAAAAACATACCAGACACTACTAACAGTGATGTTATCTTTGGAAAGAGGATTATTGTTACAGTTAATAAATAAAATGCTGGGCCGGGCGCGGTGGCTCACGCCTGTCATCCCAGCACTTTGGGAGGCCGAGGAGGGCAGATCACGAGGTCAGGAGATCGAGACCATCGTGGCTAACGTGGTGAAACCCCGTCTCTACTAAAAATACAAAAAATCAGCCGGGCGTGGTGGCGGGCGCCTGTAATCCCAGCACTTTGGGAGGCTGAGGCAGGAGAATGGCGTGAACCCGGGAGGCGGAGCTTGCAGTGAGCCGAGATCGCGCCACTGCACTCCAGCCTGGGCGACAGAGCAAGACTCCGTCTCAAAAACAAAAACAAAAAATGCTGGCTCTCTCTTGCAGATGGAAAACAGTGAACACAGAGAAACATGGCGTATGAAGTCATGCTGAGCAGAGGAATATAAATGGCTTTCTAATGTAAACAGTCAGCAGGAAAGCCATAATTTGTGCTGCATGTACAGAGACAGATAAATCCCTGTCTCCTCATGAACACACACCGTGTTTTGTTGTAAGGATCTCTATTTGCCTGAACTGTTGGCTCAGGGGCAGAACAGATCCAGAGGATCTCAGAAAAAATGTCACTAATTTCTTCACAAGAAAGAAGGGCTTCAAAAAGCGCTTCAGAACTAGAGTGTTCCACCCCAGTCTCTGCAAATTAATACTTTCCGCAAATCCAAATGAAAGAGAATATGTTCACGTGGTATTAAGTAGCATTTTATTCTTAAGAACATTTGTAAAAAGCTTAAAGCAACGCATCCAAGGGTTGAAGCCGGGACTTTCTGCAAATTTAGGAAACTGATTTCCCCCCAGGAAAATGTCTGAAGGCATTTACTTCCAATTCACCCTCACGCCTACATCTGAAATGTCAGAATCCTTAGGTGCCAAACTGCAATGTATATTACAGATTTGTGTGTAACTTTAGGTGGTCAAAGACACTTGTGTAAGAAAAGAAACCTATTTCAAAGTAAGGTAAAATTCATGAAATAAATGGACTGAGTCACCCTAAAATATTAAGAAAAACATCTATCAGCACAAGGACAGTGGGCTGCTTTGCAGCTAGTGACTGTCTATGGATAATTTTGAAACAAAATGCCACACTTAATTAGCCAGCGGGCTTCGCATCCTGTGTGTGACGGAGAGAATGGTATTAAGAAAAAGACTCCCTCAGGCTCCATTAATGCCCTAATGAGAGGAGGCGGGGAGAGGGGTGTTGGGTAGAGGGCAGGGCAGTCAGGATTACCACATGGCCCTCAGGAAGTACAAGCTCTGCGCCTTCTGGACAAATGGGGGACTCTCAACCGCACACTGACTATTGGGCGTATCTAGCCAGCTATTTCCACAGGGTCCTCTGCAGGAAACAATTGTACCCACACTCCACACATGCCCAGCAGATAAAGCAGTTCTCAGATTACATCCAAGAGGGAGAACGTGGGCCTTAAGCTCACTTAACCGTCATCCGTGATTTCGTGACCAGCAACCCACCGACGGAGGGAGTCTCGATTTTCAAAAAGACAAAAGTGGGAGATTCTCCAGATGGCAGAGAGCTGGACTCGACATCAACCCTTCAACAGACCTTCCGGCTTACTTTAGTTATCACACACACTTAGGAAAAGAAGGGATCTGTTAGAAGCAAGCATGCATTCACCAAACACACGTCATTTCAGACTATCTTTCCTTGAAAACTATCAATAGGAACTATCTAAGTGATAGCAAGCTGTCTGTGAGGGCCTCCTACAATAAACATGCTGATCACACCGAGGAGTGTGGGCTGAATCATAATCCAATCAGGGCAAGTTTGGAATCGGCTGGATTTGAAGACGGCTGAGCAACTGACTAACAGACTCCTCCTAGCCTGGAGAAGGTGTCTAGCGGCATAACCCCCCAACTCTATCCCCAGACTCAGGCTAATCAACATTTTTATCAACTGCTTGTATAAACAACAGTCTAGCAGGGACCACATAACACAGAGCTAAGAAGGGGCTTTGATGACTGTAGGTGATCACATCAGCCTGTAGTCCCAGCTACTCGGGAGGCCGAGGCAGGAGAATGGTGTGACTTCAACAGACAGGGCACAGTGACTCACACCTATAATCCCAGCACTTTGGGAGGCCGAGGTGGGGAAAACATGAAGTCAGGAGTTCGAGACCAGCCTGACCAACATGGTGGAACCCTGTCTCTACTAAAAATACAAACAATTAGCTGGGTGTGGTGGCGGGCACCTGTAGTCCCAGCTACTCGAGAGGCTGAGGCAAGAGAATCACTTGAACCTGGGAGGCAGAGGTTGCAGTGAGCTGAGATGGCACCACTGCACTCCAGCTTGGGCAACAGGAGCAAAATTCTGTCTCAAAAAAAAAAAAAAGAAAAGAAAAGTGAATGCAATGAGATCTCGCGACATGGTAACAGAAGTCTACATAACATCTACAACAAGCTTGTCCAACCCACAGCACGCGGACACATGTGGCCCAGGACAGCTTTGAATGGGGCCCAACACAAATTTGTAAACTTTCTTAAAACATTATGAGATTTTTTTGCTATTTGCTTTTTTTTTAGCTCATCAGCTATCACTAGTGTTGTCAGCATTTTTTTTTCTTTTGAGATGGAGTTTCGCTCTTGTTACCCAGGCCGGAGCGCAGTGGCACGAATTTGGCTCACCGCAACCTCCGCTTCCAGGGTTCAAATGATTCTCCTGCCTCAGCCTCCCGAGTAGTTGGGATTGCAGGCATGCGCCACCACGCCCGGCTAATTTTGTATTTTTAGTAGAGACGGGGTTTCTCCATGTTGGTCAGGCTGGTCTCAAACTCCTGACCTCAGGGGATCCGTCGACTTCAGCCTCCCAAAGTGCTGGGAATACAGACATGAGCCACCACGCCCGGCTGGTGTTCGCATATTTTATGTGTGGCCCAAGACAATTCTTCTTCCAACGTGGCCCAGGGAGGCCAAAAAATTGGGCAACAAAGGAGGTAGGGCAGCCAGCTGCCCTCTGTGCCTGGACAGACCACACTGGAGTCTGCATTCAGGTGGGGGGATGACTGTTGGGGGGGTGGGGCAGACAATCTTGGAGGGTGCTTGGATCTGAATGGCCTGGGTGGGGGGGAAGGGTGAACCCACATCACAGGAGAAATGCTCCAAGGACCAGGGGACTCTCCCTGGGGAGAGAGAAGAGTTGTCTGCAGTTCTTCACGGCCCAGCGGTCCCCTGGGAGAGGACGGCTGAGGTCAGAATGGACTTCCTCAGGAGATGGTGTGTTGGGGTCACTGGAAACACCCCACACAGAGACGGTGACCGTAGGGGCCACTCTCCCTCAGTAATACACCCTGATTTTTCTTGACAAGCCCCCCCACAGCCCCCAGGCCTGAGGCTCAGTCCACCTGGCTTGGGACCCCAGCCTCCAGCTACACAGGTGTGGACACAACTCAGGCTTGGCCCTTTGGTATTTACACATCCCGGCCACAGTGACCAGTTATGGGATCAAGGGCGACCATGCCGGACTCCTGCTGCTGGGAGTCTGGGAGGACAGGAAGCAGGCTCAGAACTGCCGATGGTCCTCAGGCCACTAGGAGATGAGGAACAGCCTGCCAGAGGCCAGGGCGCAGAGACAGGCGGGGCGGGGAGATGGGCAAGGACCTGCCCCAGGACGGCATCTGTGCCACCCGGGCCTAAAGCTGACCTATATCTGGACCTCTCACCCACAGGAAACTCAGACCCTTCTGAACCCAGGAGTTGATATTCTACACACCTAGATAAGGCAGAAAACAGGGCTCAGAAAAGTTCAGGAATGTGGCAAGGAGGCAGACCCAGGGACAGGACCAAGTTAAATGGATAAGAACAACAAATAAATTGCAAGGAAAAGCAGGGAAGGGAAACTATAGGTTAAAAGAGGCTTAAGGGATACAGCTACCAAATGTAATGGGCAAATTTTATTTGGATTCAAACAAACCAACTGTCATCCCAGCACTTTGGGAGGCCGAGGCAGGTGGATCACGAGGTCAGGAGATCAAGACCATCCTGGCTAATATGGTGAAACCCCATCTCTACTAAAAATACCAAAAAATTAGCCAGGCATGGTGGCGGGCACCTGTAGTCCCAGCTACTTGGGAGGCTGAGGCAGGAGAATGGTGTGAACCCAGGAGGCGGAGCTTGCAGCAAGCTGAGATCGCGCCACTGTACTCTAGCCCAGGCGACAGAGCGAGACTCCGTCTCAAAAAAAAAAAAAAATTAGGAGACAATCAGGAAAATGTGAATACTAACTGGATATTTGCTGAAACTAAAGAACTGATGGATTTCTTGGGTGTGATATTGTGGTTATGTTTTTTAAGGGTTACTTAGTGAAATGCTTATGAAGGAAATGAGATGACGGCTGGGACTATCTTCAAGATCATTGAGGAGGTGGGGGTGGGGGCAGTAGGTGTCCTTGAGTTGATGACTGTTGAATGTGGGTGGATATGTGGGGATTCACTGAACTGCTTTCTCTACCTGCATGATATTTAAAGTTTCCCAAAATAAATAATATTAAGAGACATATGCACAGACCAGTATCTCCCCCTGGCCTCTCCCAGCTCAAAAGAGGGTGCGGGATCCATTCAGTAAAACCGAGCACCTGATTAGTCAAAGAGATGATCTAGAATTACACCCATATGCAAAGATACACAGATGCAGCCCGGCGTGGTGGTGCACACCTGCATTCCCAGCTACTCGGGAGGCTGAGGTGGGAGGACTGCCTGGGCCCAGGTCAAAGCTGCAGTGAGCCCTGACTGTGCCACTGCACTCTAGCCTGGGCAACACAGCAAGAGCTCTCTCACACAAACAAGCAAACAATCAAAGACACAGATGTCATCAAATCAACAACTGACAGACAATTATTGTCCTAGAAGGAAAATGAAGAGAGGCCAGGCATGGTGGCTCACGCCTGTAATCCCAGCACTCTGAGAGGCTGAGGCAGGCGGATCGCTTGAGGTCAGGAGTTCAAGACCAGCCTCGTCAAGATAGTGAAACCCTGTCTTTATTAAAAAGACAAAATGAGCCAGGCGTGGTGGCGGGCACCTGTAATCCCAGCTACTCAGGAGGCTGAGGCAGGAGTATCGCTTGAACCTAAGAGGCAGAGGTCACAGTGAGCTGAGATCGTACCACTGCACTCCAGCCTGGGAGACAGAGAGAGACACGGTCTCAAAAAAAAGAAAGAAAGAAAGAAAAAGAAAAGAAAAGAAAGAAAAGAAGCAAAAAAATGAAGAGAAACCAGGTTCTGTGATAGTCTCTAGATACAAATAAATAACTAGGTGCTTTGGAATGGGGGAGGGGTACAAAGAGGTAAAAAGGCTGAATTCCTCTCTCTTATAATCCAAATAACCATAAAATGTGGAATGAATACCGAAGCGCCTGGTAAACATTTAAACGGCACGTGCTATGCACCAGGCACCATCCTAAGTACTTGTCAAATATTATGTCATTCAATCCTTAACAACCACCCTAAGAGGCTGGTACCATCATCTCCATTTTACTCACCAGGAAACTAGAGACACAGAAATTCCAGAACTGGCCCCAAAGTCACACCCCCGGGAAACAGCCAAGTTTCCAACCCGGGAAACCTGGATCTGGATTTCCAGTCTATATTCTTCGTCTACTATGGAACACACTTTAAATATTCACATACCATAATGGAGTATTTTTGAAAGATCACGGGTAAAAACAATTTTTACAATTGCAGTCAAGAACATGCCCAGAGCTGGAAAACGCTGCACTCACAGCTACATTCACGCCTATTCGGGGCTCCGGCGGTCACACTGCGATTTTTCCCTATTGCACGTGGTCCCGCCCAATCTTCAGATTTCACATCAAAACCTGAAAAATGAGTAACAGATGAGGCAGCTGTGCTGTGAGCCACCACGATCAAAAGAAAACCGTCTTGACCTGATCACGTTTAACGGGAGGAAAAGCAGCGCCTTCTGATTTTAAACAGATTAAATCCATCCAGATTTTTATCCCAGGCATATTGACCAAAAAAAGACAAATTAAAAAAAAATGTGGAACTGATGCATCTGGATGAAATTCTCCCAGGAAAACAAAGAGAAAGCCCTATCCCTAGGACAGCAGAACTCACCACACCCTGTTTGGTGACTGTTCGACAACGATATGAGATAAAACCGTCATTCACTGTAGAAACAGCACTTGAATTTACCTGTAATTGGTGCCTGTACTGAGACACCCTGGGGAGCAGGGGGAGAGGCTGACGGATTGGACAGAAGGAAGCGACGAAGTGAAGCTTACGTTGTTTTTTTAAAAGGACTTTCTGATGTAGTTCATACAAAAATACACTGTGTATCTGGTCCAAGAGTTATGACCGGCAAGCCGCAGAAAATTTACGTTTGCTTTTAATCACGGAGGCCACAGAACAAAACTTTCCATGACGGGTCTCACTCCCGAGTAACGGCACTGGGCTTCTGCCTCGTCGTGGTGCAGAAAGCACAGGTTTGAGATTTCACTGGAAGTTGGAACGGCAGTTTCTGCAAACCTCATAAAAGGGAGGACTGATTTAGTCCTAGGATCTCGGCAGGACACCTGAAGTTCAATTTTGTCTCTGAACAAAAAGCACTACAGCAGCCTGCAGGCTTTCCGTAGGATGAAGGGGGAGTTGGGGGGCCCTTCACTGGAGGAACTAAAAAAAAGCCAAATCATTAAAAAGGCCCTTAGAAAAAAAAACACCACCATGGAAAAAGGCAGCAAGAGAGAAGAGGTTCTCGCTCTCCTGCCTTCCAAGCAACCAGCGAATGTTTCAAGCCGTTCAACTACCTCTGTCTTATCTCAGAGCGGTCCCTGCACACCTAGAGGAAGAAAGCCACCTGAAGAGGCTTGCTGCTCCTCCTCCTCCATGCGGAACGTTTGATGTGAGTATTTTTTAAGGTACAATTCCGTGAACAGAAAGGACCAAGTTGAATTTAAGGGAGTTCAGCCAAGCTCTTTCATCCAACACTGTGACCCTGATCTAATAATCGGTGCTCTTTGCTTCAATTCTCCAGCTCTAACATACTTGGAAAAGTTAAAACGGTGAATATCTACTGATTACTAGTTGCTGGAAGACGTAATATGTACGCATTTTGAGTTCTTTGGAAGAAAGATGCTAGAGAAATGCAAACAATGAAATATTAAAGCATGGCATGACAGGTCTGCAGATATGAGACTCTTTTTTTTTTTTTTTTTTGACACGGAGTTTCACTCTTATTCCCCAGGCTGGAGTACAGTGGTGCGATCTCGGCTCAATGCAACCTCCGCCTCCAGGGTTCAAGTGATTCTCCTGCCTCAGCCTCCTCAGTAGCTCGGATTACAGGCATGCACCACCACACCCGGCTAATTTTGTATTTTAAGTAGAGACAGGGTTTCTCCACATTGGTCAGGTTGGTCTAGAACTCCCAACCTCAGGTGATCCGCCCACCTCGGCTTCCCACAGTGCTGGGATTACAGGCGTGAGCCACCGCGCGTGGCCGAGTCTCTTTTAATAGACTCAGATATTTGACATTTCAAAAATGGAGAGTCAAGCTTTTTCCTATTTTTGAGCACAGAATCACACGGCAATCCAGTTGCACAAGAAGCTGCTGGGACTCACCCAGCTGTGACATCCATTTGCTCATTTAGTCCTCTTTAAAACACTCATTGAGAAACAAAAACAGACCGAGCGCGGTGGCTCACGCCTGTCATCCCAGCACTTTGGGAGGCCGAGGCAGGTGGATCATGAGGTCAGGAGTTCAAGACCATCCTGGCTAACACGGTGAAACCCCGTCTCTACTAAAAACACAAAAAATTAGCCGGGCGTGAGGGCGGGCACCTGTGGTCCCAGCTCCTCGGGAGGCTGCGGCAGGAGAATGGCGTGAACCGGGAAGGCGGAGCTGGCAGTCAGCCGAGATCGCGCCACTGCACTCCAGCCTGGGTGACAGAGCGAGACTCCATCTCAAAAAAAAAAAAGAAAGTCAGGATTCACAAAGATTCCAAATTCATAGCGATTTTCCTTGATTGTCTTGGAATACGCATAAACGGTAAATTCAATGCAACACAGAAAACTAAGCACCTTGGTGGTTCACACCATGCACCACTGGGAATTCAGATCATGAAGAAAGAAAACACATCCTGGCCGGGCGCCGCAGCTCACGCTGTGATCCCAGCACTTTGGAAGCCGAGGCGGGTGGATCACCTGAGGTCAGGAGTTCAAGACCAGCCTGGCCAACATGGTGAAACCCTGTCTCTATTAAAAATATAAAAATTGGCCAGTCACGGTGGCTCACACCCGTAAGCCCAGCACTTTGGGAGGCCAAGGCAGGCGGACCACCTAAGGTTGGGAGTTGGAGACCAGCCAGACCAACATGGTGAAACCCCATCTCTACTAAAAATACAAAATTAGCCGGGCGTGGTGGCACATGCGCCTATAATCCCAGCTACTCGGGAGGCTGAAGCAGAAGAATTGCTTGAACCCAGAAGGCAGAGGTCACGGTGAGCTGAGATGGTGTCATTGCACTCCAGCCTGGGCAACAAGAACAAAACTCCATCTCAAAAAAAATTTAAAAAATACAAAACTTAGCCAGGCGTGGTGGCTGGCGCCTGTAATCCCAGCTACTCGGGAGGCTGAGGCAGGAGAATCGCTTGAACCCAGGAGGCGGAGGTTGCAGTGAGCCGAGATCGCGCCACTGCTCTCCAGCCTGGCAGAGCGAGACTCCATCTGAAAAAAAAGAAAAAGAAAAAAAGGAAAGAAAACACATCCTATGCCAAGCCTGTGCTCTCCTGGCCAAAATGAAATCATGCAGGAAGGATCCCACCTAGTTCACAACGGGACGAGCTGGAGCCCTGGAACCCTGATCACTGTCAGGAAAAAGGAAGATCCCCAAGGGGTTTGTTCAACCCCGACCCCAGCTGTGCACAAAGCCTGTTTTCTCAAATGTGTGTGCACATTACAACACCTTCCCAACAAAAGGTAGGAATATTTTAAAACGTAGAATCAGGGCCGGGTGCGGTGGCTCACGCCTGTAATCCCAGCACTTTGGGAGGCTGACGCGGGTGGATCACGAGGTCAGGAGATCGAGACCATCATGGCTAACACGGTGAAACCCCGTCTCTACTAATAATACAAAAAATTAGCCAGGGGTGGTGACGGGCCCCTGTAGTCCCAGCTACTCGGGAGGCTGAGGCAGGAGAATGGCAGGAACCCGGGAGGCGGAGATTGCGGTGAGCCCAGATCGCTCCACTGCACTCCAGCCTGGGCGACAGAGCGAGACTGCGTCTCAAAAAAAAAAAAAAAAAGGTAGAATCAAATCAGTGACCCTAACTTCCAGGGCTTGCCTCTGTGCTCTAGCTCACATTCCAACCCGTGTCAGAAGACAAATCGATCAGCAAGAGCTGTGGACGGCTACTCAGAGGCAGGCCTGAGCTGCTAACTGGGAGATGAGTACCAAACCAGCAATGCCTACATGTCTGAGCAAACCCATCCCGCAGCATTCCAGAGCTGGGACGGGAGGCAGGTCCACGCTAGAGGTGGCGTTTCTACAGCTCCAGAGATGAGCACCCTCCATTTCCCACGCGAAACAGCAGTCTTTCAACCTCTACACCGCCCAGAGTTAAGCAAACAGGGTCAGCGGAAGACACACCTAATAGCTTTGGGAAACCACAAAATGATTGCTTTGTGCGTAATTTCTCTCAAGAAGAGTGCCTGATCATCTTTAAGTTACAAGGGTGACTGAAAGGGTAACTTAATAGTAACTTAAATCTTTCCCAGGCTTCGTCGATCAGCAGCAGTCTGGAGCGTCATTGGCAGATAGAAATACAGAGCTCAGTAAGTATCAGTAATATCCCGGGACTTTAAGGCACTGTATTTGTTGTTTCATTCTTCTAGGTCTTTCTTCGCAGTTATAATCTCTTATGGGGCAATTTTTTTTATTTAATTTTTTTTTTCCAAGACGGAGTCTTGCTCTGTCACCCAGGCTGGAGTGCCGTGGCCCGATCTCAGCTCACTGCCAACTCCACCTCTCGGGTTCAAGCGATTCTCCTGCCTCAGCCTCCCGAGTAGCTGGGAGTACAGGTGTGTACCACCACACCTGGTTAATTTTGTATTTTTAGTAGAGATGGGGTTTCACCATGTTGGCCAGGCTGGTCTTGAACTCCTGACCTCAAGTGACCCACCCACCTCGGCCTCCCAAAGTGCTGGGATGACAGGCGTGAGCCACAGTGCCCGGCCATTGTAGGGCAATTTTTTTGACACCTTCATCAAATCCCCTTGTATGCTTGTAAAAGTCATTGGTTTGAAAAGTTTAAAAATATACCTCATGCCGGGCGCGGTGGCTCATGCCTGTAATCCCAGCACTTTGGGAGGCTGAGCTGGGCGGATCACGAGGTCGGGAGATCGAGACCATCCTGGCTAACACAGTGAAACCCCGTCTCTACTAAAAATACAAAAAAAATTAGCCAGGCGTGGTGGTGGGCGCCTGTAGTCCCAGCTACTCAGGAGGCTGAGGCAGGAGCATGGCGTGAACCCGGGAGGCGGAGCTTGCAGTGAGCCGAGATCGCACCACTGCACTCCAGCCTGGGTGACAGAGCGAGACTCCATCTCAAAAAAGTATATAGATATATATATATAGATATATGGATATACCTCATAACCGTTTTACAGTTCAGTAATGTGATAGATTCCCAAGGCTCAAGCTATGAAATGAATGACTAAACTTAATGATCATTTATCTAAACACAATAATAGCATTTATTGAGCACTCACCACATGCCAGGCACGTGTATATTATCTCGCGTAGCCTTTACACAATAAGGCAGGTGCTGTTATCACAAATGGAAAAGGAACGTGTGGTACAGAGATGTACAGCGCCTTGCACAAGGACACACAGCTAATAAACGGCAGAGCGGGGGCGTGAACTCAAGCAGAAGGACAAAAGACTCTATATTTTTAGCCATGTATTAGACTGCCTTATTATGCAGAGAAAAAACAAAGAGATTAAAAAATATATTACAAATGATGGAACAAGAAAAAGCCTCTCAAGGAACATTGCTCTTATTACTTTATTTTTATTTATTTATTTATTTATTTATTTATTTAATACAGGGTCTTGCTGTGTTGTCCTGGCTGGAGTGTAGTGACACAAACATGGCTCACTGCAGCCTCCACCTCCTGGGTTTAAGCAATCCTCCTGCCTCAGCCTCCCGAGTAGCTGGGACCACAGGTACCCACCACTGTGACCAGCTAATTGTTATTTTTTGCAAAGACAATGTTTCACCATGTTGCCCAGGCTGGTCTCAAACTCCTAGGCTCAAGTGATCCCCCCACCTTGGCCTCCCAAAGTGCTGAATTACAGGTGTGAGCCATCACACCCGGCCTGCTCCTAACTGGACTGTTGTCCTTTATTACTAAAAGACTGGCCCAAGTCCTAGAAACACAGTCACCAGTGGGAGCCTGTCCTGGCTGGTCCGGGCTTCTTATGAAGAAGGCAGAAAATCCTAATTTTCAAATCTGCACCTTTTTGCCATCTTTTCCCACCTTGAAAGTGAATGCAAAGAAAAGATACAGTGGTGTCACAGCAACTGTTCTCTTCCTGGCTGCAGTGTTTGGATTCAAGGAAGAGTGGCAGAGCTGGAGTTGTAAGAATGTTGAGGTTGCTACCAAATCCTGTCCCACCCATAGGGCCAAAGGGATTCAAGTAAATTCTCAGCCAAGCTTCTCATTGAGTCTGAACTGAAAGAACCACCCAGAGCAGCCAGAGTGAGACTCCACTTCCCCTGGCTGGAGCAGGCTGACCAGGGATACTGGACCAGGGTCCCCTGACTCTGCAGACTTTCTCTTCCCCTTTGTCATGCAGGAAGTCCTGGGGCCACACCAGAGCCTCACAAAACTGTCCAGAGGAAGCCAGTGGTCTGCACCCTTGGATGTCAGTGCACCCACACTGACCATATGTTTTTGATCAGGCATCCAGCCCAGACAAAGTTGAGCTCTGCGACTTTAACACCAAAAGAGTGCTCACTTCTATGAGGCTGAAGTGGATCCCGGAGACGGACCTCTCCAGTCTTGACGAGTGAGTAACATACTAATCCAAAGGGAAGACCAAATCCCCAAAGTCCAAATTTCACCACCTCCTGACTATCGATCACATTCCTTCTCTCTAGAAATGTGAAAATCATCTACCAACCTACTTATTAAAACAAGTCTAACTGCCTTAACTTCAGGATTATAGATTTGCTGATGAAATTGTTATAAATGCTCTCAAAGTTCTATTACCATCTAATTACAATTTATGCACAGCTATATAATAATGTGTGTTTTGGAAGCTGAAATAATATGTGTTTTGGAAGCCAAAAAAATTAAGCTTCAATTACTTTTGTACCTACCATGACAACAGGCAGAAACAGGACAATTTTGTATAAAGAATGTTTTTTTACATTTTTGTCCTTTTTTTTTTTGGTGTTTTCTCACAGTTCCTGTCAAGGTGAGAGGAACCAGGCAAAATGCAGGCTTAACATATACGGTCATCCCCAGGTTTTTTTTAACTATATAAAGGAGAAATTAATAAAAGAAAAAAAGAAATACCACACAGCATTTTCTTTCCCCACCATAATTTTTCAATTTTCTTTAGAGAAATGCCAGCCAATAACTAATTAGAACCATACCCTTTGTTATCCCAATGGGAAGAAGTATACGCATGGGCTTAAAGAACAAATGTTAATGAGAATTTAAAAAAAATTAGCAATCTGGAACTCTGGTTTCCCTTCAGTGTAAAACAAAATTCCCTTCTCTAGAGTTATTTTTATCATTGGCGAAATGACACGGATAGAGTCCATCCACAAGACGTGTTCACCCATCCAGTGCCCTCAGCTGGGAGAACTCCGGCTCTTCACTTGTTCTGATGGGGAAATTAGCATCATTAGCTCACGGGCTTCTAAGCACCCTAACTTCAAATGAGACAAAAACTCAGTTACAGAAAAGGCATTTGTTCCACATCTCTTTGGTTTCAAGGGGGAAAATAATTCCTTTTTTTTTTTTTTTGAGACAGAGTTTCGCTCTTGTTGCCCAGACTGGGGTGCAATGGTGCGATCTCGGCTCACCGCAACCTCCGCCTCCCAGGTTCAAGCGATTCTCCTGCCTCAGCCTCCCTAGTAGCTGGGACTAGAGGCATGCGCCACCAGGTCTGGCTAATTTTGTATTTTTAGTAGAGACGGGGTTTCTCCATGTTGGTCAGGCTGGTCTGGAACTCCCGACCTCAGGTGATCCGCCCACCTCAGCCTTCCAAAGTGCTGGGATAACAGGCATGAGCCACCGCACCCGGCAATAATTCCTTTTAAAATCAGCACGTAGCTTTTGTAATTTCCAAGAGTATGTGTTCCATAAGAAGGACAGCTGGAGTCTTTTTACCTGGTATATATCCCCGAGAAAGATCTTGAGTGGTTTGTTCACGACCAAGGAAAGAAACTACCTCCTTGAAAACTGGACTGGTTTTAGAGAATAAAGTATAGGATGTGAGTCAGAAAAACTCTGGGCCAAAAAATAAAATGTTTAAGATGCTAACGCACCAGGGTTTGGGCACGTCCAGCACTCTCAACGGTATTTTCAAATGAGAGTCTGCCCTGTGTCATCCAGGTTCTCATCATGGAGGAATCAGCAGGTCCAGGCTAGGGCCGCAGAATACTTTTTGTCATGCAAAGAGCCTGTCCAGGGTATAGAGAGCCAGCCATGGCCCATGTCCTATCAAATATTCTCCTTTTTCGGAAAAAGCTCTAAGCATTTGCAAAACATCTGTTTGCTCCATATTTTTACTATCCAAAAAATGTATTTCCTCTTCAGTAAAAAACACAACAATAGGCTGTTAAGCCTGTAACATTTTACCATAATTCTATGTTTTCAAAAGCTAGAAATCATTTGTATTGCCGGATAAGGACATTATTTTAAGTAGACTTTAGTCTACAACAGAAACTTGCCGTAACAATGAAAATGTTTTTTGGCAAATCCCTTTCTGAACATTATTTCTCCACGAACGTATCACAAAAACCACCACCAAGGAAAACAAAGGATTCTCGTATTTTGAATCAAAAAGTACTGGCCATGCATATTCATACTATATCAAGCATGTCAATCAAAATGGGCAAAATAACCTAAAAAGCAGTAAAAATGCCAACTCTTGCCTCTGAGTGGTTAGTGAACCTATGTTTTCCCAATATGAAATTTACAAACTGCATCGGATCAACTGTATTTCATACTTTAAATCTCGAATCTCTACCTCCCACTGCTTCGGGATGGATGATTTACTCAAGACATTTGGGGTCACAGTGTAAGCCTTTTGCTCCCAGTAAATCTAAATCATGCTTCTCAACAAGATTCTGCACATATAAAAGGAACACGTGGCACGCCTCGCCATGCTCCCCAGAGGAAACTAAACGCCCCCAGAATAGCCCTTCTGTCCACTCCAGAAACAGGCTTTCCTCAAAAAGGGAAAGGGGCTGGATTCACACGTTGCATCATATACACTCACGAAGCAACAGCGCTCCAAAACTTTTTCTGACTCCATTCATTACAAAATGTCCTGGATGTGCTTTATTATCACAGAGACAGACATCCTCACCCAAGGGACACACTCAGAAACCCAAACTCAACTCGGCAGCAAACTGGGAGACACGAGAAGTTGACAGCAAAGTATCCATTTCCCCAAATCCTCCTTCTTCCAGTCAATGTGCATCGATGGGGTCAGCTCAGCCCTTAACTCGAAGACCCCGGGACCACAGGGGCCACCACGCAGCTGAGCTCTGCACAGCCCGGGCTGTTCCCGCGCCCGGGAGGCGTCTGGGGAGGAGGCTGGACGGCCAGACAATGCAAAGCTCCCCGGTGGCCGCGAACTCAGCCTGGGGCGGGGGAGGCGGGGGCGGGAGACGGAGCCGTGAGCGCCCTTCTCGGCCACAGCCACGGCCACGGTCACCGGCCGCCTCTCCTGACCTCGGCCTCGGCCCCCAGGTCCCCGGTCCCCGGGGAAGGGGCTCCGGGAAGGCAGGTTTCTCCCGGAAAGAAAGGAAACGCGCTGGTTTGGGCGCCACGGGCGGGGGGCGTGCGCCCTCCCCTCCCCTCCCCTCCCCACTGTGGGAATCCGCGGGGGTCGGCGGCGGAGGCAGGAAGGGCCTGGCGCCTCTGCTCGCGGGTGAAGGGGTCGCGGAACCGGGATCCCCGAGCGCAGCCGCCCCCACCCGAGGCTCCCAGCGTGTGCGGACGGAGGGGCTCGAGCCGGGATCCCGGGGGCCGAGGGGGGTCCAACTTTCCAGGGCGGGCGCAGCGCAGCACTCGAACCAAAGAGGGGTCCTGGGATGAGGGTGCGGGCACAGCGCGGAAGGGGGGGGGGCAGAGGCGGGGACGGCGGGGTGGGGGGCGGGGAGAGGACAGTGGGTCGGGGGGCGGGGGACTGGGGGCAGGGGTCGGGGGGTGGAGGGCGGGCAGGGGGACAACGGGGTTGGCGGAGGGCAGGGGTAACGGGCGTGGGGGGCGGGCAGGGGTAACGGGCGTGGGGGGCGGGCAGGGGCCGGCGAGGCCCGCGCCGCTCACCTTCCTGTGCTTCTCCTTGTAGGGCAGCGCCAGCCACGGCATGTCCCGCACGAAGTCCTGCCACTGCCGCTGGTCCTGGTCCGAGGACACGAAGACGATCTCCAGGCGCCGCCGCGGCTCGGGCTCCGCCGCCGCCCCGGCCCCCGCTCCCGGCCCCGGCCCGGCCGCCGCGTCCCCCCGCAGGCGCCCGTAGAAGGCGGCCAGGCTGGCGCTGAGCTGCGCGCAGGGGGCGCTGAGGCTGCAGCCGAAGTAGAGACCCAGCAGCGAGATGCCGCGGGCGCCCAGCGAGTGCACGTCCACCTCCTCGCCGCCGCCCGTCACCAGCTTCTCGCCGAGCAGCTCCTCCAGGAAGCCCGACATCCTGGCCCACCGCAGGGCGGGCAGGCGGCTGCGACCCCGCTCCACGGTCCGCGCGGCGGGAGGAGGCGGCGGCGTCGGCGGCAGGCGCTGGGGAGAGCAGAGCCCGGCCCAGTAGGGCCGCCCACGCCACGCCCCCTCCGCCTGCCCGCGCCACGCCCCTTCCCCCGCCCTGCCACGCCCCCTCCGCGGCCCGCGCCACGCCCCTTCGGCTGCCCTCGCCACGCCCCTCCGCCCGCCCTCGCCACGCCCCCTCCGCCCTCGCCACGCCCCGTTTGCGGCCGGCGGTGGCCAGAGCTCTCCGCCCAGGCGGGGTCCGCAGCTGCCGGCCGCGGTGCGCGGGGTGACTGCTTGGGCGAGAAGCCGGACCCGAAACGCCGCACTCTCCCTGGAAAGCCCACGGCCGAAGTGAAGAAAGGAGAAGGGCCCGCTGAGCCGGCGCTTTCCCGGGCTGCAGCCCGGCCCGCATTTTCTCTCCTCCCCAGTTCTAAATTCCCTCCAGACCTCCAGGGATCCCGCCCCCTCCCCGCGGAGCTCTTCACCCTCTTCCTGTTCCTCCCCGGCCTTTCCCTCCTCCTCTCCCTGCACGAAGCCTGACCCTTAGGCCGCTCCGGGCCCCACTGACCCTGAGATGCTTATAGGACCCGCCGTCCTCACTGCATCAGGCCGGGCCTGGCTGGACACTGACTCCTCTGTGTGTTCCAAGCTGTTCTAAGGGGGCCGAGGACGCCCTCGCAGCTTCTGGTGGGGTCTGGTTAGGGTGCCAGGTCTCAGTGTGGGATTTCCGTCCAGGGGTCGCCGGGGCCTCTCCCCCCAGCGAATCTGTCTTCCAGCCCCACAAATGGATGCAAAGGACGCCGCGGGGCCTCCAGACCAATGCTGGCCGCGCTCCTGAATCCGCTCCATCCTCATGTCAAGTCTATGGATAGTTGAGAACATTTCTAGAGATTTTTTTTTTCCTACCAGCTGGCAGGATGCTCCCCAATGCTTAGGGAGAAGCTGGATTAAACAGGTGGTCTGGGCCGGGCGCGGTGGCTCACGCCTGAATTCCCAGCACTTTGGGAGGCCGAGGTGGGTGGATCACAAGGTCAGGAGTTCGAGACCAGCCTGGCCAATATGGTGACACCCCCCCCCCGCCTCTACTAAAAATACAAAAATTAGCGGGGTGTAGTGGCAGGCACCTGTAATCCGAGCAACTCAGGAGGCTGAGGTAGGAGAATGGCGTGAAGCCGGGAGACGGAGGCTGCAGTGAGCCGAGATCGCTCCATTGCACTCCAGCCTGGGCAACAGAGCAAGACTCCGTCTCAAAAAAAACAAAAAAACAGGTGGTCCGTGGCGAGTACTCTGGCCACGCAGCGCCTCCCCCCAACCCAACCCACTGGTGCACGAAGCAGGTGCAGATCCGGGCCCAGCCACAGTAACAGGCCGCCGGTGTGGATCAGCTACTGACGACTCAGCGAAAGCAAAAAAATAAAAGCTGAAAACCCGCCCCTCTCAGAGCTTCCACCGCCGCTTCGGAGGATATTTCCTGTGCATCCATCGCCACCTAATGGAAAGAGTGAAAAATGAGGCCGACCAAACTCCATTTGTGAAAAGACACTGCCGGGACACCAGGCACAATGCTTTTATTTTACAGCAGCTTTCCACATACACAAATGATAGGACGCTTTGCGGGAGCTAATTTAAACCTCAGAATAGAACTTCAAGCTTTTGGCACAAAACGTAAGTGTTCACATCGAAGGTTCTCCGTTTTTCTAGGGTAGAATAAGGAATGGTGCAGGGTTCCAGCTTGGTGAAATGTTACCATATAAAACAATTGGGAGAGGTGGAGATGGGAGCGGAAAGTGGACTGGCGTCTCTACAAGTTATATCCACTTCCTTAGTCACCTGCTGGTATTGCTAATGACACAGGTAAGATCTTAGATGGAGGACCGCCTTCGAACACCCTAGAATCCTACTGCAAAGTCGAATTCCACCTTAATTCTCAGGAGACTTTCATGCTGAAAGTCTGTGCCACTGTAGGGACAATATTATAAAACACACACAGAAAGCATCACTTTTTAGTGAAAACTTTATTTATTTATTTATTTATTTATTTATTTATTTTGAGACAGTGTGGGCGGCAGGCCACCCAGGCGCTGAGGCAAGAGACCGAGGACACAAGCCGTTCCAGTGTAATAAAATATAAAATAAGAATAGTTATACCAGATATAGATCTTAGATAGGCTTATATATGAATATCATTAATCATTAGTTTGTAGCAATTACTCTTTATTCCCATATTATAATGATCCTCGCTCTATAATCATAATCTAGGGAAAACCAGGCCATACAGAGATAGGAGCTGAGGGGACATAGTGAGGAGTGACCAGAAGACAAGAGTGCGAGCCTTCTGTTATGCCCAGACAGGGCTACCAGAGGGCTCCTTGGTCTAGCGGTAACACCAGCGTCTGGGAAGACACCCGTGGCCAGGCGGACTGTGGTGTAGCGGTAGCGTAAGTGTCAAGGAAAAACACCCGCTACTTAGCAGACCGGGAAAGGGAGTCTCCCTTTCCCCGGGGGGAGTTTAGAGAAGACTCTACTCCTCCACCTCTTGTGGAGGGCCTGACTGCAGGTTCGCCCACAATTATCCGGAGGCCTAACTGTCTCCCTGTGATGCTGTGCTTCAGTGGTCACGCTCCTAGTCCGCCTTCATGTTCCATTCTGTACACCTGGCTCTGCCTTCTAGATAGCAGTAGCAAATTAGTGAAAGTACTAAAAGTCTCTAATAATGGTGGAAGCTGTTTCTCTCTTTGTCTCCTCTCTCTCTCTGCCTCGGCTGCCAGGCAGGGAAGGGCCCCCTGTCCAGTGGACACGTGACCCACATGACCTTACCTATCATTGGAGATGGCTCACTCTCCTTATCCTGCCCCTTTGTCTTGTATCCAATAAATATCAGTGCAGCCTGGCATTTGGGACCACTACCGGTCTCCGCGACTTGGTGGTAGTGGTTCCCCAGGCCCAGCTGCCTTTTATCTCTTTGTCTTGTGTCTTTATTTCTACACTCTCTCGTCTCCGCACACGGGGAGAGACCCACTGACCCTGTGGGGCTGGTCCCTACAGACAGAGTCTCACTCTGTTGCCCAGGCTGGAGTGCAGTGGTGCGATCTCAGCTCCTGCAACCTCTGCCTACCAGATTCAAGTGATTCTCCTGCCTCAGCCTCTCGAGTAGCTGGGATTACAGGCATGCACCACCTCCCAAATAGCTGGGATTACTGGCATGCACTAATTTTTTTGTTTTGTTTTGTTTGTTTGTTTTTTGCAACAGAGTCTTGCTCTGTTGCCCAAGCTGGAGTGCAGTGGCGCGATCTCGGCTCACTGCAAGCTCCGCCCCTCCAGGTTTAAGCAATTCTCTGCCTCAGCCTCTGGAGTAGCTGGGATTACAGGCGTCCGCCACCAAGCCTGGCCAATTTTTTGTATCTTTAATAGAGACGGGGTTTTCACCATACTGGCCAGGCTGGTCTCAAACTCCTGGCCTCAAGTGATCCACCCGCCTCAGCCTCCCAAAGTTCTGGGATTACAGGCATGAGCCACCACCCGGCCTTGGTGAAAACATTTAAAGCTACTCATATCATATATATTAAGTTACTAGGCCAGGTGAGGTGGCTCACACCTGTAATCCCAATACTTTGGGAGGCCGAGGCGGGCAGATCATGAGATCAGGAGATTGAGACCATCCTGGCTAACACAGTGAAACCCCGTCTCTACTAAAAATACAAAAAATTAGCCGGGCGAGGTGGCGGGCACCTGTAGTCCCAGCTACTCGGGAGGCTGAGGCAGGAGAATGGCATGAACCCGGGAGGCGGAGTTTGCAGTGAGCCGAGATCGCACCACTGCACTCCAGCCTGGGCGACAGGGAGAGACTCCATCTCAAAAAAAAAAAAAAAGTATATATATACACACACACACACACACACACACACACACACATAGTTACTAGACATCTTTTGAAATCCTGTAAATGGGTTACAATGTTTTATCATCTCATCCAAATCTTATCTGAAAGGCCCATGCACTGGGTACGTGGGTTAGGCACTACTGAAAGAGTGTTAGAGTCCTACACTCTGACACTTTCAAAATTATGAAAACTACAGAAATGTAAAAGGGCTATCAGCATTTACCTGCTACGGCAGCCAAAGGGCAAGAGGCATTTGGTGTGGAGGCCGGTGAAGAGGGAATTTGGGGGGCTGCAAATATTGCAAATATTCGAGTATTAACTTTGGTATACTTGGTGCAAGTCTGATATAAAGAGGAGGTTTCTTCCATGTGTGACTTGTCTTATTTAACAGGAAAGCACTTTCCACTGGAGTGTGTCCAAACCAGCATCTGGCACCTGGGGAAGGGAGAGTTCGAACACACTGCACATGAAATATAAATAAAATTTAGAGAATTGTGGATGCGGCAGGCCTTGGTTAGAGGCCAAATATCACAGCTGCCTTTTAAAGGGGTGTGGAAAGAGGGGATTTGCAATGGAAATGATCCCAGAATCATAATTGTAGTGGGTGTTATAAGAAGCCCAAGGAGTCATTTGGCATCCTGTGAAGAATTAGCCAGTGTGCTCTGGGCTACAGAAATCTTGCTCTCTGTGTATGTGGTTCTCTAAAGGAGAATGTCCCCACTGGTGTTCAGCTAGCGATGTTACATGAATCGACTTGGCTATTCTGAAAATTATTATTGTTTTAAAATATGTAGGAATGAGCCTCAACATGTATCGCATTCTGTAGAACATATTAGAATTTTCTCTTCAGAAATTGCTTTTGAAGGCACATGAAGTCATACGAAATACACACAGCACAAATATATATTTGTCACTTTTAAGATTCATAAATCACAGTCCTTGGACTTTAGAAAGAGTAGCACACATGATGTGGGCCGGGCGCGGTGGTTCATGCCTGGAATCCCAGCACTGTGGGAGGCCAAGGTGGGCGGATCACCTGAGGTCACGAGTTCAAGACTAGCCTGAGCAACATGGCAAAATCCCATCTCTACTAAAAATTAAAAAATTAGCTGGGTGTGGTGGCGCACACCCATGGTCCCAGCTACTCAGGAGGCTGAGGTGGGAGGATCGATTGAGCCCAGGAGGTCGAGGCTGCAGTAAGCCATGACTGTGCCACTGCACTCCAGCCTGGGTGACAGAGCAAGACTTTTTCTTAAAAAAAAAAAAAAAAAGCATTCGTGACTCATGGGAGAAGATCAAAATATCAACGTTAACAGGAGTTTGGAAGAAGTTGATTCCAACCATCACACGTGTCTTCCGTGAAGGAAGAAAGTGCGGATGCGGTAGAAACAATGAGAACTAGAATGAGAGGTGAAGCCTGAAGATGGGGCTGAGATGGCTGCAGTCTCATGACCAAACTGTAGCAGGTGAGGAGTTGCTTCTTGTAGATGAGCAAAGACAGTTAGAACGTCAACTTAATAAGGCAGCGGTAAGGTTTGAGAGGACTGACTCCAATTTTGAAAGAAGTTCTACTGTGGGTAAAATGCTATCAAACAGCATCGCACGCTACAGAGAAATCTTTCTTGAGAGGGAGAGATGATGGATACGGCAAGCTTCGCTGCAGTCTGATTTTAAGCGCTTTTACCACAGCCACCCAACCTTCAGCAACCACCATCCTGATCAGTCACCAGCAGCCATCAATATTGAGGCAAGACCCTCCACCAGCAAAATGATTTCAACTTGCTAAAGGCTCAAATGATCATTAGCATCTTTTTTTTTTTTTTTTTTTTTGAGGCGCAGTCTCGCTCTGTCACCCAGGCTGGAGTGTGGTGGTGCCATCTCCACTCACTGCAAGCTCCGCCTCCCTGGTGCATGCCATTCTCTTGCCTCGGCCTCCCAAGTAGCTGGGATTACAGGCACCTGACAGGACGACCGGCTAATTTTTGTATTTTTAGTATAGACAGGGTTTCACCATATTAGCCAGGATGGTCTCGATCTCCTGACCTCGTGATCCACCCGCCCCGGCCTCCCACAGTGCTGGGATTACAGGTGTGAGCCACCACGCCCAGCTGTTTTGTTTTTGTTTTTGTTTTTTGAGATGAAGCTTCATTCGTTGTCCAGGCTGGAGTGCAATAGCGTGATTTTGGCTCACTGCAACCTCTGCCTTCCTGGTTCAAGCCATTCTCCTGCCTCAGCCTCATGAGTAGCTGGGATTATAGGTGCGTATCACCACGCCCAGCTATTTTGTTTGTATTTTTAGTAGAGACAGTGTTTCACCATGTTGGCCAGGCTGGTCTCAAACTCCTGACCTCAGGTGATCCATTCACCTCAGCCTCCCAAAGTGCTGGGATTACAGGTGTGAGCCACTGCGCCTGGCCTGTGATATTAGTTTTATTGTTGTAATCTGGAACCAGAGCTGCAATATCTTGAGGTTTGCCAGTATATAAACACAGAGAAACGTATTCCTAACAAAACAAGTAGGAAATATCCATGATCATTCCAGCCCGTGTTTCTGTAACTGGCCATGGGTTGTGGCTGGTATTTATAATGACCTTTCACTATCCATTATGTATTCCCTTTGCTTTCAGTAAGCACCTCAGCTGGTTGTGGGTCTTTTCCTGGTGGGTGACCCAAACTTTCATTCCTGAAAGGTCTGGGCCCTTGGTAGTCCTGCCTGGATTGAATTCTTGTGGTTTTTCCATTGCCCTAAATCATAGGCCATGGTCTACTAGGACACCCTGAGGGGCCTCTATTCCAGACATACTCTTGCTCACCTCAATTGTGGACTTGTGGTCCAATCTAGGATCAATCACCCCAGCCAGCACAGTAACTCTCTTATCTGCCTGTTGATTCAGAGGCAGTGGGAGGCCAAACAGGCCCAGCAGAAGTCCTCACTTGGAGTTCAATGGCACCACTGTTGGGTCTTCTGGGGGAAACATTCCTCCATTTGGAAATACGACCCCTAGGCCAGCAGAGCATAAGGTCACGTGAACAGGAAACAAACATCTTGCTGCTGGGTCACTAGGAGTGCTAGGGACTGGTGCCCCTCTCATTGCCACCCCTTGATTCCCGGACCCATGAATCCTGGCTGTGGGAGAAACAGCACCCTACACTCAGTTCTGATTCAGAGCATATACTGCCTCCTGCAGAACTCTGGCCCAGCCCTGCAAGGCATCGCCACCCAGCTGGTGCTGTAGTGGAGTCTTCAAAAGGCCATTCCACCATCTTATCAAACCAGCTGCTTCAAGATGGTGGGCAACATGGTCGTACCGGGGAATTCCATGAGCATGGGCTCGTTACCATACTTTCTTTGCTGTGAAGGGAGTTCCTCAGACAGAAGCAGTGCGGTGTGGCATACCGTGACAGTAGGTACGGCATTCTGTGAGTCCACGGATGCTAGTTTTGGCAGGAGCGTGACGTACAGGGAAGGCAAATCCCGATCTAGAGTAAGTGTCTATTCCAGTGAGGACAAAATGCTGCCCCTTCCGTGATGGAAGTGATCCAGTGTCACCAACCTGTCACCGGGTCACTGGCTGATCACCCCAGGGAATGGGGTCACCAACTGATCACCCCAGGGAATGGGATCACCGGGTCGCTGGCTGATCACCCCAGAGAATGGGGTCACTGGCTGATCACCCCAGGGATTGGGGTCACCGGCTGATCACCCCAGGGAATGGGGTCACCGGGTCGCTGGCTGATCACCCCAGGGAATGGGGTCACCAACTGATCACCCCAGGGAATGGGGTCACCAGGTCGCTGGCTGATCACCCCAGAGAATGGGGTCACTGGCTGATCACCCCAGGGATTGGGGTCACCGGCTGATCACCCCGGGGAATGGGGTCACTGGGTCGCTGGCTGATCACCCCAGGGAATGGGGTCACCGACTGATCACCCCAGGGAATGGGGTCACCGGGTTGCTGGCTGATCACCGCAGGGAATGGGGTCACTGGGTCGCTGGCTGATCACCCCAGGGAATGGCATCATTTCAGGGGCTCAGGGTTGGTCTCTGTTGCTGGCAGATGGGGCTTTCAGCCATGGCTGCAGCCAGGATGGCCATAGTGAGTAACAGTCTGTGCTGTGAGCCCATGAATAACCTTTATCCCTGCCCCCCATGGCCACTTTGTTCATGAGCCCACTGGGCACTAACTGTGGTGTCGGGGGAGAGAGGCTGAGCAGCACCCAGAGAACGGGCCATCCTATCGCTTGAAGATTCGAACTCTTCCCTGGTGAGGCCACCCTTTGGCGAGCATTTACATGGGACACACGTATCGTCCGGTTTTTGCCCACATACCTCTTCTCTCAGTTCCCTCGGTTTCCTTGTCACTAATTTTCCAATCATGTTCCTTCCAAGTCCCTGACTCTCCAGGCAAATCATTGGCTACGGTCGGTGAATCGGTGTGTGCTCTCACGTCCAGCCATTTCTCCTTCCAAGCACAACCAACAACCAGGTGCACTGCGCCAACGTCTGCCCACCGGGAGGATCTGCCCCCACCGCTGTCCTTCGGGAATGTCCAAGGAAGAGGCTGGAGGGCAACAGCTGCTCAGTTTCGGGCGGAGACTGCACGTCGTACAGAACCATCTGCAAACTGGGATGTGAGTCTTCGCTTTCTCTGTCAGCTGATCATGGAGGACTCCCCATGATGCTAGAGGTGCAGGCTGGGAAAGGGAAGGCAGGGTGGAGTCGTGGCAGTGGGAACCAAGGGCCTTTGAAGCTGCTTCTCCATCTAACTTCCTGGTGCCTTCAGGGCCTGCTTGGGCCCAGTCACGTGTATACTATTTCCATTAGATGGTGAAGCACGGTGCTGCTGTGCACACCCAACTGTATGGCTTGATGGGTCAGAGAACCTCCAGTTCACGACGGGCAGCTCAGGCCACATGGTAACTCCGTGGCCCATGGCTAAGCATCAGTCTCCAAGAAGGCCCAGTAGCAGTCCAAAAGCTGTGTCTCAAAAGGAGAGTACTGTCCACAGGATGGCAGAGCTTTGCTCCAAAATCCTACAGGCTTGCTCTGCGATTCACCTACGGGGCCTGCCAAAGGCTGCAAACAGCATCCTTGTCTGCCACGGTCTCTTCAAGCATCACTGGATCAGCTGGATCACGTGGCCCACGTGGAGAGCAGCTTGCATCACAGTCGGAACCTGCTACAGTGCGTTCTCTCGCTCTGGTCCCTCTCAAAGCTAGCAGATTTTCAGGTTGCTCTATAACTAGGTCAGGCTAACACGCCCAAATGAGGATTGAGTTGCCGTTAAATATCTGGACACTAAACGGCCCAGTCAAGTTGGCACACACAATTGCCCATCACACACTCTGACATGGGGTATCTTTAAGACGTAGCACAAGAGAAAGGAGGGTGCAGAAGAGGTAGGAAATACTAACCTACAACTTGTCTTTTTTTTTTTTTTTAAAGAAACAGGGTCTTGGCCAGGTGCAGTGGCTCACGCCTATAATCCCAGCACTTTGGGAGGCCGAGGTGGGTGGATCACGAGGTCAAGAGATTGAGACCATCCTGGCCAACATGGTGAAACCCCGTCTCTACTGAAAATACAAAAACTAGCTGGGTGTGGTGGTGGATGCCTGTAATCCCAGCTACTCAGGAGGCTGAGGCAGGAGAATCGCTTGAACCCGGGAGGCGGATGTTGCAGTGAGCCGAGATCACACCACTGCACTCCAGCCTGGTGACACAGTGAGACTCCATCTCAAAAAAAAAAAAAAAAGGAAAAAAAAAAGAAATGGGGTCTTGCTCTGTCACCCAGGCTGGGTATAGTGCTGTGATCATGGCTCACTGCAGCCTCCAACTCCTGGGCTCAAGTGATCCTCCCACCTCAGCCTCCCGCATAGCTGGAATTACAGGTGCACTCCACCATGCCCGGCTAATTTATTTTCTTTCTTTCTTTCTTTTTTTTTTTTTAGAGATAGAGGTCTCACTATGCTGCCCAGGCTGGTCTTGAACTCTTGACTTCAAGGGATCCTCCGGCTTGGCCTTCTGAACTGCAGGGATTATAGGCATGAGCCACTGCACCCGGCCCCATTTGTAATTCTTTTTTTTTTTTTTTTTTTTTTGAGACAGAGTCTCGCTCTGTCGCCCAGGCTGGAGTGCAATGGCACAATCTCGGCTCACTGCAAGCTCCGCCTCCCGGTTTCACGCCATTCTCCTGCCTCAGCCTCCAGAGTAGCTGGGACTACAGACGCCCGCCACCACCAGCTAATTTTTGCATTTTTGGTAAAGACAGGGTTTCACTATGTTGGTCAGGCTGGTCTTGAACTCCTGACCTCAGGTGATCCGCCCGCCTCAGCCTCCCAAAGTGCTGGGATTACAGGTGTGAGCCACCGCACCCGGCCTGTATTATAAGCTTTAATGTCTGTTTTATATTTTCCTTTTTAAAAAGTCGGTATTTTGTGGCAGATCCACTAATAAATGAAATTACCTGATAGAGAAGTGCATACAGCAGAATATGGAGGCGAGATCTGACAAGGATCAAGACGAAGAAAGGGGGAGAAGATCGTTGTTCTCACTGGCTATGGCAGAAGTGTGGTGCAGATCTTTCTGGCACCAACTTGATATATAACTTTGGGGAGCCACCGTGATTTATTATTCTTTCTATTATTCCTTTTATCCCTTAGCAAAGCAGGACAAGTCTGGTCTCTGGGTTGCTTTTTTGTTTTTCTTTTTTGAGATGGTTCTCACTCTGTCGCCCAGGCTGGAGTGCAGTGGTACGATGATGGCTCACTGAAGCCTTGACCTCCTGGGCTCAAGCAATCCTCCCACCTCAGCCTCCCAAGTAGCTGGGACTACAGGCACATGTCACCATGCCGAGCTAATTTTTGTATTTTTTGTTTTTTTAGAGACGGAGTCTTGCTCTGTTGCCCTGGCTGGAGTGCAATGGCGTGATCTGCAAGCTCCTGCAAGCTCCACCTCCTGGGTTCACGCCATTCTCTTGCCTCAGCCTCCTGAGTAGCTGGGACCACAGGCACCCGCCACCATGCCTGGATAATTTTTTGTATTTTTAATAGAGACAGGGTTTCACCATGTTAGCCAGGATGGTCTCGATCTCCTGAACTCGTGATCTGCCTGCCTCGGCCTCCCAAAGTGCTGGGATTACAGGTGTTAGCCACCAAACCCAGCCTAATTTTTGTATTTTTTTGTAGAGACACAGTCTCACTATGTGGCCGAGGCTGGTCTTGAACTCCTGGGCTCAAGTGATCCTCCTGCCTTGACCTCCCAAAGTGCTGGGATTACAGGCATGAGCCACCATGCCCGGCCATTAGTCTCTAGTTCCTAAACAACTTTCCTAACTCTTTTCTGACTTTCTTGTAGAAGTGTAAAGTGCTGGAGAAAACACTGTGCATTTTTCTATCTGCTTCCAATACTTTTCAGATCAGATCTGAGGATTATAATTCATACCCCTAGGCTGGGCACGGTGGCTCATGCCTGTAATCCCAATACTTTTCAGATCAAATCTGAGGATTATAACTTGTACCCCTAGGCCAGGCACAGTGGCTCACACCTGTAATCCCAGCATTTTGGGAGGCCAAGGCGGGCAGATCACTTGAGGTCAGGAGTTCAAAACCATTCTTGTCAGCCTGGTGAAACCCCATCTCTACTAAAAATACAAAAAATTAGCCGGGCGTGCTGGCACATGACTGTAATCCCAGCTACTTGGGAGGCTGAGGCAGGAGAACTGCTGAACCCGGGAGGCAGAGGTTGCAGTGAGCCGAGATCTCACCATTGCACTCCAGCCTGGGTGAAGAAGCAAGACTCTGTCTCAAAAAAAAAGAACTAAACCTGGACGGAAGCACCTGTGTCTTCCTGGGCACTAGTTGTAAAAGCAACACGTTGAGTTCAGATTTTATCCTGGCATGAAGTAGAATCCAGAGCAGGGAGCACGTTCACAGTCCTGTGTGGGAAGATCATTCTGTGAATAGTTTGGAGAAGAGCAAGGTAGGAGGCTCCAAAACCAGTTAAGAGCCTATTAATTAAGAGGCCGGTGCGGTGGCTCACACCTGTAACCCCAGCACTCTGGGAGGCTGAGGTGGGAGGATTGCTTGAGCCCAGGAGTTTGAGACCAGTCTGGGCAACAGAGTAAGAACCAGTTTCTGTAAAAAAGGTTTTTAAAAGTTAGCCCGGGGCACGGTGGCTCACACCTGTAACCCCAGCACTTTAGGAGGCTGAGGTGGGAGGATTGCTTGAGCCCAGGAGTTTGAGACCAGTCTGGGCAACAGAGTAAGAACCAGTTTCTATAAAAAAGGTTTTTAAAAGTTAGCCCGGGGCACGGTGGCTCACACCTGTAATCCCAGCACTTTGGGAGGCTGAGGTGGGCGGATCACGAGGTCAGGAGATCGAGACCATCCTGGCTAACACGGTGAAACCCCGTCTCTACTAAAAACACAAAAAATTAGCTGGGCGTGGTGGCGGGCGCCTGTAGTCCCAGCTACTCGGGAGGCTGAGGCAGGAGAATGGCGTGAACCCAGGAGGCGGAGCTTGCACTGAGCCGAGATCACACCACTGCACTCCAGCCTGGGCAACAGAGCAAGACTCCATCTCAAAAAAAAAAAACATTAGCCCATTACCCCGGCATGGTGGTACATGCCCATGGTCCCAGCTACTTGGCAGGGTCGAGGTAGGAGGATCCCTTGAGCCCAGGAGATCGAGGCTGCAGTGAGCCATGATGGGGCCACTGCACTCCAGTTTGGGCCACAAAGAAAGACCCTGTCTCAAAAAGAAAAAAAGAGGCTCAGAGAAGACATTACTTCCAATTAGATTAATCAGAAAAGGTAAGTTTTGAAGGGCAGGAATATTTAAAGACAGAGCTGAGGGGCATGAGTGGAGTGTTGTGAGAAGAAAAAAGAATTACTAGCAAAAGTTCACAAGGGTCTGAGTGTGGCAGCTCACATCTGTAATCCCAGCACTTTGGGAGGCCAAGGCGGGCAGATCACTTGAGGTCAGGAGTTCAAGAGCAGCCTGGCCAACATGGTGAAACTCCGTCTCTACTAAAAATACAAAAAAATTAGCTGGGCGTGGTGGCTCACGCCTGTAGCTGGGGTCAGGAGGCTGAGGCAGGAGAATCACTTAAAGCTGGGTAATGGAGGTTGCAGTGAGCTGAGATCGCACCATTGCACACCAGCCTGGGCGACAGAGCGAGACTCCATCTCAGAAAAAAGAAAAAAAAAATGTGGTCCCCAACCAGCAGTAGCATCACCTGGGAAATCCAAAATTTCACACCCACCTCAGACCTTTCTGAGTCAGAAACTAACTCTGCGCTCAGCAGCTTAACCACCTGGTTCTCAGTGATGGTTTAGGACAGCCTCACGGACCTCCAGTAAGCCCAGCCCCTCACCAGGCCAATACTCTATGAAGATGAACAGATGATGCTATTACGTGCCCTTCACTGTGGAGACAGAAGGGAGGGACCGACGGTGCTCAGGGCTGGGCCTGGAGGACCCCATCCGGAGCCTGGAGTGCTCTTTATCACCGGCTGCCCGTGGGAACCCACGACTCACGGCTGGAGGCCCCACGCCCCCTGCCTTGTTTCCATCTGCTGCAGCCAGCGACGTCAAGCCTTATTCCATCTGTCAGACCAGGCCAGACGATAAATGTCCTCTTGTGGGGAAAGTGATTCAGAGAGAAAAGCTAAGAGCCACTCCACCCTCACATAATCCACCTCACATAATCCACCCTCACATAATCCACCCTCACATAATCCACCTCACATAATCCACCTCACATAATCCACCCTCACATAATCCACCCCTCACATAATCCACCTCACATAATCCACCCACACTCACATAATCCACCTCACATAATCCACCCTCACATAATCCACCCTCACATAATCCACCTCACATAATCCACCCTCACATAATCCACCCTCACATAATCCACCCTCACATAATCCACCTCACATAATCCACCCTCACATAATCCACCCTCACATAATCCACTCTCACATAATCCGCCTCACATAATCCACCCTCAAATAATCCACCCTCGCATAATCCACACTCACATAATCCACCTCACATAATCCACCTCGCATAATCCACCTCGCATAATCCACCCACCCTCACATAATCCACCTCGCATAATCCACCCTCACATAATCCACCCTCACATAATCCACACTCACATAATCCACCTCACATAATCCACCTCACATAATCCACCTCACATAATCCACCCTCACATAATCCACCTCACATAATCCACCCTCACATAATCCACCTCACATAATCCACCCCTCACATAATCCACCTCACATAATCCACCTCACATAATCCACCCCTCACATAACCCACCCTCACATAATCCACCTCACATAATCCGCCCTCACATAATCCACCCTCACATAATCCACCCTCACGTAATCCACCTCACATAATCCACCTCGCATAATCCACCCACCCTCACATAATCCACACTCACATAATCCACCTCACATAATCCACCTCACATAATCCACCCTCACATAATCCACCTCACATAATCCACCCTCACATAATCCACCTCACATAATCCACCCTCACATAATTCACCCTCACATAATCCACCTCACATAATCCACCCTCACATAATCCACCCTCACATAATCCACCCTCACATAATCCACCCTCACATAATCCACCCACATTCACATAATCCACCTCACATAATCCACCTCACATAATCCACCCTCACATAATCCACCCCTCACATAATCCACCCTCACATAATCCACCTCACATAATCCACCCTCACATAAGACTGTGCAGCTGTCTGGTCTCCATTTCTGCCGGGTGGGGTATTCCATCCTCATCTCGGGCAACATGTCCCAAAAGTATGGTTTCCAGTATGGCTCCTTAGGTCCCACCCATTTCTTCTCTGGGACCCCAAAGACCCAACCCCCACCTTTTTTTTCTTTTTTTTGACACGGAGTCTCCGTCTGTCTCCAGGCCGGAGTACAGTGGCACCATCTCGGCTCACTGCAAGCTCCGCCTCGTGGGTTCAAGCGATTCTGCTGCCTCAGCCTCCTGAGTAGCTGGGACTACAGGGGTGCAGCCACTATGCCTAGCTAATTTTTGTATTTTTAGCAGAGACAGGGTTTCATCATGTTGGCCAGGATGGTCTCGATCTCTTGACCTTGCTTCAGCCTCCCAAAGTGCTGAGATTACAGGTGTGAGCCACCGCGCCCAGCCAAGACCCTTAAAAGAAGGACACTTCACTTCCTCTTACAACTCAGACATACCTGTGAGGCTCCTGGGCTATGGAACACCCCAGCCCTTTCGCAGCCCTTGATGGAAATTGTTTTTCAGCCCTCTGAATAAAATGACCACTGTTTACTTAATCTTTTTTTTTTCTTTTTTTTGAGACAGGGTCTCGTTCCCTCGTCCATGCTGGAGTGCAGTGGCACGATCATGACTCACTGCAGTCTCAACTTCCCAGACTCAAGCAATTTTCCTGCCTCAGCCTCCCAAAGTGCTGGGATTACAGGTGTGAGCCACCATGCCCAGCAGAGGAATCTTTTCCGATCAACATCTTCTGAGAGTCCCTGGCCCAAGTAGGCAGATGCTTGCTACGGCACTGCCTTCAGGCCATTAGCAAAAAGTGTGCTTAAATGCCCAGAGGTGTTCCCAGGCCACGTTTTGTTCATACGAGGAGTACAAAATGATGCCAAAGTGTTAGCATTCTTGGGACTGAAAACCTCTCTCCAACATCCCCTAGGATTTTCCTGGATATGACCAGAAATCCATTCCCAATTTCTCTGCCTCCAGGCCCCAATTCTGGTTTCCTCAAAGAGGAGGAAGTGTTCTTGGTTCCCAAAATATGCTTGCAGTGCAGTGGTATAATGGTAAATGTTTAACAACAATAACAAAAAGGCCCTAACTGGCCGGGCGCAGTGACTCACGCCTGGAATCCAAGCACTTTGGGAGGCCGAGGTGGGTGGGTCACCTGAGGTCAGGAGTTTGAGACCAGCCTGGCCAACATGGTGAAACCTTGTCTCTACTAAAAATACAAAAATTAGCCGGGCATGGTGGCATGTGCCTGTAATCCCAGCTAGTCGGGAGGCTGAGGCAGGAGAATCGCTCAAACCCGGGAGGTGCAGGTTGCAGTGAGCGGAGATTGCACCACTGCACTCCAACCTGGGTGACAGAGCAAGACTCTGTCTCAAAAGAGTAATTTTAAAAAGTAAGGCAACAAATTATCAGGAGTTTTTGAGCTGGTTGTTAAGCACAGTTATTATTAAAAATTACATTCTATACATTTATAATAAATTACACTAAAAATAGGTAATATGTGCTCAAAACTCATCCCCTCCTAAAAATTTTACTACACTGTACTCCTATCTATGCTGTTGAGGTTATTTCCATAGATTGTATCTGTGTGATAGAAACACCATGTAACCACATGCTGCTGTACGTCTTCCCAATTCTGACTGATGACCTCGCTTGGTAGTTTGAAATCAGCCATGATGGGGATATTAACACCACACAAGTCAGCAAATGCTGTCAGTTAGGATTTTTTTTTTTTTTTTTTTTTTTTTGAGACGGAGTCTTGCTCTTGTCGCCCAGGCTGGAGTGCGATGGTGCGATCTTGGCTCACTGCAACCTCCACCTCCCGGGTTTAAGAGATTCTCCTGTCTCAGCCTCCCGAGTAACTGAGATTACAGGCGCCTGCCGCCACCTGGCTAATTTTTATATTTTTAGTAGAGACGGGGTTTCCTGCTTCAGCCTCCTAAGTAGCTGAGAATACAGGCGTGCACCACCATGCCCAGCTAATTTTTTTATTTTTTATTTTTTTAATTTTTAGTAGAGATGGGGTTTCACCATGTTTGTCAGACTGGTCTCGAACTCCTGACCTCGTGATCCACCGGCCTCGGCCTCCCACAGTGCTGGATGACAGGCGTGAGCCCCCGCGCCCGGTCCGTGCATTTACAGCACAAGTTCACGCTTATCTACAAAGCATCCACCTCTCACCGCACCTTCCGGGACCACGGGATTTAACGCCTCACCGCCCGATGACAGCACGAGGTGGAAAGGGCAGCGACAATGCTCGCGCGTCCCCTCCCGGCGATCCGGAGCACGGCAGCCCCGGAGCGCGCGGCCACTCCTCGCTCCCCTCAGGAGCTCGTAAGAGCCCCGCGCGGGGCCGAGGCGCGAGAGCACGCGCAACGCTTCCTGGGAAATGTAGTTGGGTGTCGGATTAGAACTACAAATCCCGGTACTCACCGCGCTGCAGCCCCGACCGTGAGGGCGCTTTCTGGTGAATCTGAATCTCGTTTGTCTGTGACATGGGGAAAGCTGTCCAAGCCCAATTCCATTTTCACAAGAGGCTTTCTTTTTGGAAACATGATAGCGGTCTCGCTGGTGTGCGCACCAGGAGCGTTGCGGCCGCGGCTTCCTCCTGCGGCGAATCTGCCGTTGCATCACAGTGGCTAGTCTCAGGGCCCGCAACGTGACGCTTGTCGAATCTGCTGCGGGGAGAAGGACGCGAGGGTTGCTTGGGCAGCGACTGTCATGGCGGCGGCCGCCCCCAATGCCGGAGGCTCGGCCCCTGAGACAGCGGGTTCCGCCGAAGCTCCGCTGCAGTACAGCCTGCTCCTGCAGTACCTGGTGGGTGACAAGCGTCAGCCCCGGCTCCTGGAGCCTGGGAGCCTGGGCGGGATCCCAAGTCCAGCCAAGAGTGAGGAGCAGAAGATGATCGAGAAGGCGATGGAAAGCTGCGCTTTCAAGGCTGCGCTGGCCTGCGTGGGAGGTGAGGCCGGGCGATGGGACCCTTGGGAGGCTGAGGGCCTGGACGGCAGTGGGGATCTCTGCCGAGAAGACCACGCGCCTGGGAGGCGAGGGACTGCGGGCCTTGACCTTGACCACACCCTCGCCTCGTTCGTGAATCGGGCGTCACCTCTCCTGCCCCCTCAGGCCGGCTTTCCTGATGAAAATTGGGTTAGAGAATCGGTGCTGTGGTTGGGGCCTGAAAGTTATTACATGACATCCTGGCTAACACGGTGAAACCCCGTCTCTACTAAAAATACAAAAAATTAGCTGGACGTGGTGGTGGGCGCCTGTAGTCCCAGCTATTCGGGAGGTTGAGGCAGGAGAATCGCTTGAACCCAGGAGGCGGAGCTTGCAGTGAGCCGAGATGTGCCACTGCTCTCCAGCCTGGGCGACAGAGCGAGACTCCGTCTCAAAAACAACAACAAAAAGTTATTACGTGGGTGACTTCATTCATCCGTTCATTCCCTTAAATTCATTCTCTTAAATAATTCTTTCAACAAATTGTTCCTAAGCAATATCACGTGCCAGGTGAAAGAGACAAGAGCCTGGTCTTCATGGGGCCTGTATTATACTATGTGGAGAAGAATGTTGAGCAGGAACACTGCAGAGGAAGGATGCAGACATATGGAAATGCACATGCAGACGACTCTAGGGCAGCAGTTGTTTGAGGTTTGAAAAACTGAAAGACCATTGTGACTAGACAGCCCCGAGCAAGGAGAGACGAAGTCTGCACTTGTCCTTCTGTTTTTCCCTTAAGTTGAAGGGGAGGTGCCCATGATTTTATTAAACTCATATTGACCATGAGGTCATGAGAGGGCATCCATCTGGACATGTCCAGCCGGCTCAGGAAGGACAGATGTGGCAGCAGTGTGGGATTTGCCATTAGGTAGCTGTGTGGCCTTGGGAGAAGTTGCTTAACCTCTCTGAGCCTCAGTTTATAGAAAGGAGAGGCTAATAGCATCTGTCTCACTGGATTATTGTGAAGAATGAATGAGGCTGTGGCATACTGGCATGTGCTCAGTAAAGCATTACTGTGAATGTCACAGTGGCCAAGAGAGTGATTTGCAAAGTTGATAGCTGAAGTTGAGGGTGGCTGGTTTACATATGAGAGAATGTAGAGAGAATAGAGGGTTAAAGATGGAATCTTGAGAAATGTTAGGGAATGACAGGAGGAAGAAATCTTAGAGACGGAGAAGATGATGTCAGTAACATAGACCCTGGATTGCAAGTCTCCAGGCAAGTGGAGAGTTTGAGTGGCAAGAGGGGGGTGTCCTCTGCACCGGTGGTCATCCAAAAGCATGGTCCCTTCCAGGATGATCCCAATAGAGTAATGCAGAAAACATGCCAAAGACACCTTCATCTCTGTGTTTGCTTCTAGGATTTGTCTTAGGAGGTGCATTTGGGGTGTTTACCGCTGGCATCGATACCAACGTGGGCTTTGACCCTAAGGATCCTTACCGTACACCGACTGCAAAAGAAGTGCTGAAAGACATGGGGCAGAGAGGAATGTCCTATGCCAAAAATTTCGCCATTGTGGGAGCCATGTTTTCTTGTACTGAGTGTTTGATAGAATCTGTAAGTGTCTCTGCCTTCTAAGAAATCCTTGCTGGGGCCACCATTTCATTACTTTTAAAGAGAAATTGCTCTTTAAAAGTCATTTGAAAGTTGTTACTAGAAAGCAAATCAGAAGCATCAGATACATTCTAGGTTGAACTTCCATAAAATAGTCCCTGTGGCAGACTTTGTGTGTGTTTACAGTATGGGCTTGCATTATTTTTTACTTTTTGTAGGCTAGAAGTTAGCTAATGATTTTAAACGAGACTTATTGGAGAGCCCCTTGAAGAAATTTTGATTACATTCCAAATGCTGGGCTTGGTTTCAGCACTCTGGTGCCACCTGCAGGAAGCATCTATGAACGCATACTATATATATATATATATATATATATATATATATATACACGCTGTATACTTAGGAACTATATTTTCAAGAAAGATTAGGTTTCCTTTGGGTAGGGACTGAATGAGCTAACGAGCAACCCTGTGTATTCCTCCTTAATGGTCTGCCTTGGCTTGTTTCTTTGGCTCTAACGTGTACTTCCCTGCCCACAGTACCGGGGAACATCAGACTGGAAGAACAGTGTCATCAGTGGCTGCATCACGGGAGGAGCTATTGGTTTCAGAGGTTAGTAAACGGCTCTCGAATGCTTTTTCTTTGTGGCCTTGGACAACGTGCTGAGGTTGTCATTTCCAAACACACGAGTGTTCCAGGGACACTTGATCTTCTTCCCTCTGACAAATAAATCATGTTTGTTTCTGTGGTAACTCGGTTTTGGAAACTTGTAGGATCTAGATGAGGGTTTCCCATCGTTGGCACTACTGACATTTCGACCAGACGAATCTTTGTCGGGATTGGGTCTGTTTTGTGCATTCTAAGACGTTGAGCAGTATCCCTGGCCTCTACCCACGAGATGCAAGTAGCACCCCCGTCCGTTGTAACAACTTTTTTTTTTTTAAAGAGACCGAATCTCACTCTGTCGCCCAGGCTGGAGTGCAGTGGCACGATGTCAGCTCACTGCAACCTCCACCTCCTGGGTTCAAGCGATTCCCCTGCCTCAGCTTCCCAGGTAGCTGGGATTACAGGCACCCGCCACCATGCTCAGCTAATTTTTATTTTTTTAGTAGAGATCAATTTCACCTGGTCTCGAACTCCTGACCTCGTGATCTGCCTGCCTCAGCCTCCCAAAGTGCTGGGATTACAGGCATGAGCCACCACGTGTGGCCAACATTTTTCTCAGTAATTCTAGACAATTGTCTTTTAATTTTAGATATAAATTATAATGGTAATATCTTTCTGCCCTTGGGGATTCTGATTTCTACCCATTGAATGCTAAGTACAGATATTCTAGAAATATTAGATTATCAGCTGCAAAAAAAAAAAAAAAAAGAAAACCAATTTGCTGCCTCTTCTCCCCGTTGGCATGTCCATTCAGAGCGTGGTGGAGGGCCTTGGTGACTTGACTTTCCTAGAAGCAGCAGTGTTTTATCACTGGGCCACTTTCCATCTGTCATGCCCTAACTTACCCAGAGCAAAAAGCCAGTTTTCTCATCTTCTGAGAGACAGGATGATTTGCTGTCATGAAACCTGGTTTTGCTCCTCAAGCACCATTTATGATGACGGACTGACTTCTCCGCCGGTCGTCCCATTGTTCAGCTTCACCAGGGCCTCTTTGAGAAGCTCTGCTGTCTCCAGTACTGCTTTGATCACCTTCCCAGGAATGTATTCCATAAACAAATCAGGGTCAAGGCCATATGCTTTCATTTGATTCCGAGGGCTGCTTCTCTCAACCAGTTTCCTGCCTGCGAGGGGCTATTTCCCTAAGACTAGAAATACCCTTTGAAGGAGAAAAGCTAAACAAATGTAGTTAGATAAAGCGCACTGGATTAGATCATATACACTGCTTCATTGATGTCTTCCAGAGCTATGATCGTTTGAATGACTTACAGTGCTTAAGCTCATTTCATGACACTGAGGGTGTGCCAACTTTCCGTGAGTGCCTCGTGACCCAGCAGCTGTCACCACAGGTCATGTTCTTTCTGTTTGTTTGACAGCTGGCTTAAAGGCTGGGGCCATTGGTTGTGGAGGTTTTGCTGCTTTCTCTGCTGCGATTGATTATTACCTCCGGTGAGAGTAATTGCCTGCAGGGAAGGATGATGCCAGCCCCGGATCCGGGCTGCTCTCTGGAGGACAGTTTCTGTACCACACCAGGGCCTTGCTTCAGGGCCTGAAGACATTCATTTTCCCTCATGTCGTTGGTATTCTGAGGGAGCTGCCTGGCTTCTCTGCCTCCAGCCTTTGGGGTAGCCACACTTTGCTGCTCCTGGACTCCAGCCAGCCTTCACAGAGGACGTCCCGTGCCAGATTCTCTCACAGCAGATCGGGAGACAGGATGTTGACATATAGGAATTCAGCTCCACAAAGCTTCAGGCCTGACCACAGCTGGCCCTCTAGGTTGTTTGGTGTTGTGGGCACAGAGGTGACAGTGTCTCTGCAGGCACTCAGGAAGCTGTTCTACCTTGGAACTCCATGCAACTATCCGTCTCGAATACCAGGGCAGGGCAAGGCGGACTGATGCCGTCCAACCAATTATCTCACTTGTTTTGTGTTCTGTCATCCTTGTTTTTTTTTTAAAAATACACTCCCCTCCCCCACCGCCACACACCTTACAGTTCAAAAGGTTGGTTTATTTGTATTTTATTTTCAAATTCCCTATTCCAAAAATAGTGCCGGGTGGCCCAAAGATAACATCTGAAGGGAAAGAATGAGAAAGCTCCCAGGGAAGCGGGGGATGGGGCGCTGAGGCAGGGTTGTTAGAGGACTGTGTCATCCTCACCAAGCTCATTACATCTGCCAGGGCCTGCCTCAAGAAGCCCAGCCCAGCCTTTTCCTGGGATGCAGTGAAATCCCATCCATGAACTCGATGGGCCCCTCCTGTGCCGGCCGAGAGGCACACACTGCCTTCACGACGTGACTGCTGGACCTGGCCGAGCTTGAGGCCACATGTGAAGGGTCCTGCTGTGGTCATCTTGGTGACTCGGTCACAGCAGCTACTGGCCAAGATCAGACGTCGCTGAGGGGCTGTTCACCACCATCCTCGTTCTCCAGGGTCAAGGAAGTGTTTTAACATGTCGTGTTTTCGACTTGACCTTGTGGTATTTTTCTTGGCCTAGTTGTGTGCCATGGATATTAAAAAAAAAAAAAAAAAAATCCGTCTACAGTTGGGCTTCAGCACTGGTGCTGCTTTACCCTGGTGCTCTGTGGGGGGATGACACTGCTGGAGTCAGGCCTTTGCTCTTGGGTGGGGCACAGGCAGGTCGCTTGGTGGGGGCCACACAGTGCTGGGCACCTTCAGCCAGTGGTGATGAGTCTCCTTTTTCCTATAATACGGTAATTCCTCTATCCTTTCCTTTTTTGCCTTCTTCCTCATCTGCCCTGTCTTCTGGCCCACACACTCTTAACCAGCGTTCACACTCAGTGTACATGGCCTGGAGGCCCGAGTGTTTGTACATGAGTGATGATGTCAAACCCAGCTGGTAACACCTTCCTTGGGTCATGTTTGCCATTTTCTTGGAATGAATGTGAGTTCCTGCTCAGGGCTCATGTCCTTTTACAGTGAATTCTATATAACGCCCCTCCCAGTCTCACAGCTAGGAGGCTTCATCACTGCTAGGCCAGTTGGAGCGTTCCCTAGAGCTCAGAACAAATTGTTTCCTCTGCTGTCCCTAAATATAGGACACCTACAAGCACTCTGAAGCAAGGGCAGACATTCCCACCTGGTACCTGTCAAAGTCCTAGGATGCCTGGGATCTTCCATCTTTCAGTCTAGCACGTGGGACCAAATACAAGAGATGCTGCCCTCACAACAGCCTTGGAAAAGATGAGCGCCAGGGCTGTCAGTACCCATCGGTTCAGTAAGCGAGGCATTGTCCACGCTGCCTATTCACTCGAGAGATGAATAGTTTCCTGTTTTCGATGGCTGGGGAGCCAGTATGAGCTCATAAACCAAACAGCAATTTTCAGAGACATCTGTTCCTGATCTTCAGAATAAACTCAGTGTCCAGTTGCTTCGGCTGGTGGGAGCCAATATTCACGCCACTGACTCTCTCAAAGGGAGGGTGGGCCCTCGGAGACCCAGCTTCTCTGACAAGCAGATTAGACCAAAAGGCTGCCTCAAAGATATGCCACTTTGAAGGAAAGCGTAGAGAAGCGTTTACATAAAAGAAGACGCTTCCTGTTCAGTGGACAACTTCATGCCACTTTCAAGGCACACCGATGGCCAGGTGGGACATTTGTACTGTAGCAGCACATGGCAAAGGTGAGCCAGAAGCAGCCTGGATGCTGGCTGATCCGGAGGCCTTTGTGAAGAGCAAGGAGAGGGCTCCAGCCCACCTCCCCGCAGCTCTGCCCCAGCCCCCGTGGGCCACAGGGAGGCTCAAGGGGAGTGAACTAGGTAAACAGATTCCTGGAAACTCACATCTGGATGCAGCTGGAAGAGTTAAATATTTACATTGGTGGCTTCCCTGGACCACCGCGAACACAAACATCCACACCACAGGGCTGAGTTTTGTGCAAATGATGGGGCTTTGCATTTTTTATTAACATTTTCCTCTCACGTGGTTTACATCAATTTATAATAATCTACATAAGTTGAAACAGAACATAGACAAAAAAATATATCCTTACCAACTTATTAAAGTCAGATATTCATGAAGGGTCCCATCCTACCTGTGTATCAGCAGAAACTGGCAGCCATCAGCCATTGCCCAGCAAGAACAGGCAGACCTGGCGTTTCTTAGCCTGACTCCTGCTGGGCACAGCCCACCCTGCTGGGCACAGTGACTGGAGGTTCCAGGCTGCACAGTCCCTGGCTCCTGACTCCTGCCGGGCGCAGTGACTGGAGGTTTCGGGCTGCATGGTCCCCGGCTCACAGGAGACCCTGCTGGGTGTTTCCTTGGTGCAGTTTAGTCCAGGTCTGGCACCTGACCCTCCCCACTCTGGGGGTGGGATTTATAAATATGAGCCTTTGCATTTCTCAGCCTTTGCAGCCTTCCCATAGCCTGTTCTCACGTTGCCTCAGCGAGCTTGGGGCTGTGGGGCTCCCTGAGGCTGAGACGCGAAGGTGCCCAGTCTGGGCCGTGACTCACTCTGCCCCTTCCTGTCCATCACTTTGGAAGCAAGCAGGAGCCTTCTGTGCCACACACCGACACTCGGATGCCAGGCAGGGACCTTAGGAAGGGCCAGGCACTGCATCTTTAGACTCAAGTTCACCGCCTTTCCCAGGGAGCAAGGGCTCCTTGCTAAGCTGCTCACAGGCAGCCGATGGTCAGTACTTCCTTCCTCTTGGGCATGTCTTTCCTCCGTGCACAGAGTATTTACTGTTCTGCCCAAGGCCACAGGAGTAAACAGGCTCAAAAAGGGCCTCTCACCGCGCACGCGCTGCAGCGTTAGGGCCGGCAAACCCTTCTTTAAGACTCAGCCCTGAGCACAAGCAATGGGAACTGAGCTCCCCAGCCCTGAGGGCCCGGAAACGACGCTCTGCCACACAGAAGAGCCGGGGAGCTGTAACTGGCTATAAGTCGAGCCCCTGGAGCTGCATCTGCTCTCCTAGGCTGATGGCCCGAGGCTGGCAGCCGCAGCTCGTGTGGGAAGTGTACGGTGGGAACACACCTCACTCCTTCCTAGTACCGGGCAATGCGTCTGCAAGTCGGGTCCCTGCTCCCTGGCGGGTGCCTACAGCACCAACAAGGAGGCCCCAGCAGAACCCAGCCCCTAGAGGCGGCTGTCTGATTCCCCACTCTCCCCACAACTTCTGGAGTTCCCAGTGTTTACCCAAAAGGCTGTATCCAGAAGCTGGGGCGGCACCACAATGGCTGGCCACCGTGGGCCTGTGCCTTTGCTTCCCAGGTCCTGGAGGACCGTGGCAGTGCTTGGCTGTGGAGTGTGTGTAAAATCTAAGGCAAGAGTACCACGAGGTCCTGCGGTGCCAGGGAGCTCCTGGCTGCAGCCTACCTGCCTGGACACCTGCTTCGGCCACATCAGTCACCCTCCAGGAAGCCTGGCCCCTCTTGAAAAGCCCCCACAACTTGCTCCTAAGAGCTGAGCTGCCTCCCCGCGACCCGGGACACCCAGCGTGGCATGTGCATTCCTCCCCCGTTCAGCCTGTGGTGTTTCCTCAGCAGCCTGACCGCCTCCTCCCCCATTCTCTCCTGACCCTCTGGCTATCTCGATAGCAGGTCACCTGTGAGTCTTTACACTCAAAGGAAATAGAACAGCAGGGAAGGGAACTGAAAAGCAGTAGAAGAAACAGTCAGAGATGCCTCACTGATAGACAGGAGGCCGAACAGGTAAACCCCAGAAGTGGAGATTCCCAAACGGAAAATTCCAGAAATGGGCGCTCCAGCTCTGTGCTAAGCTGGGGACGAGTGTGAGTGTGTCTGCTTGTCCAACATTTGCACAGGCAGCAAGGCAAAGCAGGTGTGCTCCCAAAGGCGGAGTCTGAGGAGGGGCCGGCAGCGGCAAACGGCAGCATCAAACAGACCACTGCTGCCGCGGCAACCCAGGGCCTCTTCAGAGCTTTCAAGGCGATGGAGCGAAGACCAAGGGTGCACATGCATGCAGGCAGGCTGGGAAGGAAGAGCGGGTGGAGGAAGACTGAGGGGAGGCTGCCAGGAGACCGCCATCTGGGAGCAGGGCCAAGAGAGAAGCTGGCAGCAGTTACACAGCGCAAAATAAAAGGCCTTGGGCTGGACTCAGGCGGAAAGAAAGTGCTGGAGGAAATGAAAGAACAAAGCGGGCTGTCTGTGTGCCCACGCCGGGCCGGTCACTACCTTTTCTGCCTGACAAGTGTACATAAAACAATTCCCGAACAGCACGGAGCATCAGACACAACTAGAGGTATGGAGGGCAGGAGGTGGGATGCGGTGGTGAGGCTGGGGCTGGGCAGCCGGCTTTGTACAAGGTGGCACAAAAGACGTACGCATTCCAGTTCTTGGAAGCTGGCTTCCCTCGAGTCTGGAGTGCTGGGTTTGGGAGTTTTCTATTGCAGTCTTTCAAGTCTGAGTTGGACCCCAGGCTGGAGGGGCTGGTTCCACCACCCGCCCGCAGCCACCCTGCCTCGGGCTACACGTCGGTGGAGAAGTACAGTGTGTTCCGCTTGAGTTCTGCGAAGGAAATGGGGGGGTGCTGCAGGTAGTAGAGGAGGACCTGGACCTGTGGGGAGACAGGAAGGCGGAGGCTGGGCTCCCTGTCCTAGGCCTCGTCCTTGCTGACTCCAGCCTGTGTTGCCCCTCCCACTCCCTAGACTGGCTCCGGCCACCGCCCCTTCCTGGGGAGCCCAGGTGTGTTTGCCTTTCTGCAGCCGTGGAAGGTGCTACGGGGCAGAGGGTCGGGGGCCTAGGGCCACTTCCCCAACCTGGCCATAAGCTTCTGCTCTGTCCTGAGGCGGCCACAGTCCGGCCCCTGCTCTGGGTCTTGCAGGAATCCCAGGGAAGCCTCCCGCCCTTGGAAGCAACCTCAGAGCTTCCACCCATGAGGACAAGGGCCCAGCATCTCCCCACCCCTGGGCTTGCTTTCTGAGACTGAGGCCCTCCTGAGAATGCAGCCAGCATCTCTGGGCCCTGGTCTAGGCTCACATGTTTGTTTTGGCCTGGGAGGGGCAGAAGTGTCTACAGTCCTGCCTCCCTGGTGACACCCCATAGCCCATCAACCCAGCTTCCCACGAGGGAAGAGGTGTGGGGACTCTGAGCTGTTCTCTCTCCTCCTAAGGGGCTGGTCTCACCCTCCGCCAGCCACGGGCCCGGGCGGTGCCAGGGTACCTGCGCCATGACGTCATGGGACCGTCACCCTCCGCCAGCCACGGGCCCGGGCGGTGCCAGGGTACCTGCGCCATGACGTCATGGGACCGTCACCCTCCGCCAGCCACGGGCCCGGGCGGTGCCAGGGTACCTGCGCCATGACGTCATGGGACCGTCACCCTCCGCCAGCCACGGGCCCGGGCGGTGCCAGGGTACCTACGCCATGACGTCATGGGACCGTCACCCTCCGCCAGCCACGGGCCCGGGCGGTGCCAGGGTACCTGCGCCATGACGTCATGGGACCGTCACCCTCCGCCAGCCACGGGCCCGGGCGGTGCCAGGGTACCTGCGCCATGACGTCATGGGACCGTCACCCTCCGCCAGCCACGGGCCCGGGCGGTGCCAGGGTACCTGCGCCATGACGTCATGGGACCAGATGTCCGCAGCCGAGGTGAGGTGTGCTTTGCTCTCCACTTCTGAGGGTCTCAGTAACGTGGGTCCAAACACGGTAGCCAGGTTGTGAAGTGACATTTTGTTGATGGGCTCCTTCTCGGCAACCCTAAGAAGGAGAAGATGGGGAGGAAAGAAGCCCTTCCTCAGCAGCCACTCGGAGCTCCAGGACCCTTGGCCTTCGCTGTGGGAACTCCTGAAGGACTCCTGGAAGGGGTCACCTCGTCTCTGTCTCCTAGGAGTGGGGACCTCCCCCGGGGGAAGGGGACTCATCCAGGAGAGCAGGGCCCCAGCCATGTGCCAGTGTTCTGTGCTAACATCTCCAGCTGCTGGGTCCCCCTGAACTGATGGTGAACTGCCAGAGCCAGGGAGCCCACAGATGCCAACTCCAGCTCCCTTGCCTGAGAGCAGATACTGTTCTGAAAACTCCCTGGAACAACTCACACTCGCCGCAGTCCTTTGAGGTAAATATGATTATCGTCACCCCCATCGTGTAGATGAAGAAACCGAAGTACAGAGGGGTTAAGTGACTTGCCCAAGGTCACACAGCCAGCAACTGGTAGAGCTGGGATTTGAACCCCGGTAGCTGCCTCCAGGACCTACCGCTCTGTTGCTTTCTCATGTGCTAAGTGGCCCAAAAGAAGAGTTAAGGTGGGTGGGGCAGGGGAGAAAGGCAGGCAGGGCCTGGAGCCCAGCAGGAGTCACTAGCTAGACCCGGGGCTCTGCCAGCTGTGCTGGGGCAGGAGCAGCCCTACTTCCAGATGAGCCCGGGGACTGTCCCCCCGTGCCTGTCCGGAAAGGTCGGCCTCGTGGGACCCAGGGCTTCCTCTTGTGCCTCTCCGGAAGGGTCTGCCTCATGGGACCCAGGGCTGCCTCCTATGCCTCTCCGTCTGCCTCGTGGGACCCAGGATTGTCCTCCCTCTGGATCCTCTCCTGCTTCTCTTACTCAACAGGCCAGATGCTCTGCGATGCTTCCCTGGGGTAACAGCAGGAGCTGCCATCAGGGCTGGTGTCCAGGCAGGCCCAGGGTCAGCAAACATATCAGAGGGCCTCTGGTTCTCCTTCAGTCTCAAAAAATGTTTCTGGGCTGAGACCCACCCACCCTAAGCAGCGCCTCTCACCCTCAATACCATCATTCCCACCCTCCAGGCAGGAGCTGTGGCTGCGCCTGCTTTGGAAACAGGCAAACAAACACTGTGATGCCAACAGGCAGCTGTGCAGCGGGGCCAGCCCCTCACCACACGCGCGCACACGGTCCAGCCAGGGGCCCAGATGTGGGAACAGACTGTGCCCAGTTCCCAGGGTGGAAGCCGAATGAATTTTCCCTTCCCACTCCTCCCCACAAGGCTTGCCAAATGCTTTCGGAATTGGTTGGGGCTCTAGTCCTGGCCAAACCAGAGGAAAAATGTTTCATGATGGGAAAAACAAGACACCAGCCCCGGGCGCGTCCAGGTCTCCACTGGCTCTCCCGAGCCTGGCGTGGCTGAGCTGCAGCGGGGGGCCTGGCCCTGAGCTGGGGCTGAGCTCAGGGAAGAATTGTTCCGCAGAGCAGTCTGAGGGGGCTCCCCGGTCCTGGCGTGCAGGTGGGTTTAAGGGACGCCCAGGGACCACCTCCCCACGCAAGCCTGAGGACCTCTGAACTTTGCTACAAGTACAACCAACTTTAGCCACTCTTGGTTGGACCTGACTAGAAAGGGTGGTGGGAAGGCAAGAAGGGTCTGAATTTAGGATCTGGAAGTTGAGGGCTCTAAGGACAGGTCTGCTACTAACCCAAGCAAGTCTCCGCCTGGTGTGGGGACTCAGTTTCCCTATGTCTAGTGAGGTGTGGGCCAAGACCAGTGGGTTTCACCTTTTTTGACTGTGGCCCACAATACAACCCATGCTGTAACACAGTCCACACGTCTCTATGTAACTGAAAAGCAGCACCTGCATCAAGGCTTACAATGTATCCTCCTGCTGTCTGTCCCCCACTGCTGTCCATCCCCACTGCTGTCCATTCCCCCACTGCTGTCCATCCCCACTACTGTCCATTCCCCACTGCTGTCCACCCCCCACTGCTGTCCACCCCCCACTGCTGTCCACCCCCCACTGCATCTAGAAATGGCTACATTCGTTGAATGAACCACCAGTAGGTTGGGACCCACTGATTATAAAACCTGCCTGTAGTCCTGGGCTCTCACCCTGCCATTCTGAGCATTCTATGGTCAATATTTGAGGTTACTACTGGTTACGGGACCCAAATATTTCTCAAAACAGAAAAACATGAGTGCAAGAACTTGGAAAGCAAACTCTCACTCCCCACAGACAGCCCGATGGAGGCCAGCGCCCACGAGGAGGGACTGAGGAGGTGGGGTTGGGGCCACTCCCCGTTACCTTTTCACGAGGAGGGACTGAGGAGGTGGGGTTGGGGCCCCTCCCCGTTACCTTTTCATGAGGAGGGACTGAGGAGGTGGGGTTGGGGCCGCTCCCCGTTACCTTTTCAAGTGTTCCAGCAGGAAGAGGAAGGTGATGAGGTTGGGGTCGGGCAGGGAGCGGAGCAGGTGCATCATGCAGTTTTCCTTGGCAGCAGGGTCTGACAGGGCTGTGGGAGAGAAGGGCCAGTGTGGCGTTTGGCTCCTGGGGCTCCCCGCCAGGGCCCCTGTGGTCGTGAGGCTGTGGGCCCCTGCGGGAGAGAGCCCAGGCTTCCAGGCCTTTGGGGAGCAGACCCCACAGGGGAGGGCCTGGTGTCTGGGTGGGCTGTCAGCAGCTGCTTCCTCCAGGAGGCCCCACCACGACTGGTAACTCAGCCAGGAGGCCGGCTGGTGGGAGCAGACCCCCTTCCTGCAGCTGACTGCATAGGCCTTGGGTGCTGGGGCATCCCCTGTCTCGTAACAGGACACCCCCTGGTCTGTGTGGCTAAGGTTAAGCCAGTAGGGACATATCCTGCCAGCGGTGGATTCTCTTTCTCCACCCCTTCTGCTGCTGGAGCGTGGGTGCAAGCAGCCTTCCGTGGGGGCTGAAGCTCCAGTCTGCCCCAGGAGCAGAGAAGGCTGAAGGGATTCCTTGGGGCTGGGTTTGGCCCAGGTGGGTGGAGGCGGAAGGCCTGCTGGCCGGGGCCCTCCGCAGAGGTGACGGGACGGTGTGTGGTCCCGCTGGAAGGCTCAGCACAACCCATCTCGAGTGCCCTATGGCTTAAGCCAGCCTCCTCCTTGGTTCTGGGATGCTGGCTTCTGGCCACTCACCTCAGGGCAGTCTTCCCTGGATGCTCGAGCTTCCAAGCAAGAGGCCAACGTCCAAATAGGAAGCAGAAGGGGCTGCCCATGGGGACATCAGGGGCAAGAGGCAGGCGAGAAAGGGCCCAGTGTCTGCACCAGGTCCCAGCAGGCCACACCTCACCCTCGGACCCCTCAGCCACAGGCCCCAGTGCACTGGGAAGGTCAGCCAGCAAAGGAAGCCACAGATATTTCTCCTGCTGGTTACTTCTCCGGGCAGGGAGTCCTGGCTCAGTCTGGCCCAGCCCAGTCCTAGGAGCCCTCAGGGCCTCACCGATGCCCTCCATGAAGGCTGGGTAGAGTCGGTCCGTGAGGAGCGGCTCGGGCAGTTCCCGGAAGTACAGCTTGAGCGTCCCGGCGATGGCGTTGATGTCCATGTCACTCAGCATCAGCAGGATGTCCTTGTTATCTGCAGGGGTGGGGCCGAGGTCAGGCAGCCTTAGCTGGGCCAGCAGCCCCGTTCCACCCCCGACCCATCCTGACACAGCCCCCACCCACTCCAGCTCTGGTTCTGGTCTCCCCTGGAAGAGCAGGATGTAGAGAGGGCCCACAGGTGTCTGTGACTCGGCTCTGTGGGTCGGGGTTGGGGGAACAGGGAGAGATAGCCTGGGGGCCATCTGCTGTGGCTGCTTGGGAAAGGGTGTTTGGGGAGTGAAATCCATCACCCAGAGTTCAGAGCCACATTCATACCATGTGGCCTGCAGCTTCCTTCCGACTGGAACCTCTCCATCGCTAAGCCCCTCTCTGGAAGGCATTGCACACTTTTCACACGTAAAAGCATGTTCCGACAAAGCCTCAGCTTCTAGGCTGCACAGAGGCACCAACGCCGGCCAGTTCCCAGGCCCCACCCCGTCCTCCACTCCAGGCTCCCCACGGATTCATCCCTGCCTGGCCAGTGCAGGTTTCTTGACAGTGGGGTATGTGGCTGCTGCACCTGAACCAGCAGGAGCAGGGAGGAGAAACCAGAAAGGTCAGGCCTCACCATGGTGGGCTTCACGCAGAGGCAGCACTGCCCCAGAGGGGACCTGGGGCCCTGGAGACAGCAGGTGCAGGCTCAAAGCTCTTTCCCTGCGGCTCACCAGGCACCCAGGAACTAGCAAGAAAGACACTGGAGTCAGATCTGAGTTTTAAGTCCAGAACCAAAACCTACAAGTTGGGTCATCCTGGGCAAGTGAGTCGGCCCTTGTGAGTTTCTGCAGTTGCTTACCTGCAGCAAGGGACAAGAGATTGGAGGGGAGGGGATTACAAGAGAAAGCACTTGCCACGGGGACTCTGAAGCAGAGCAAGCCTCCTCTCCAGGGAGGCTCCTGGTTCCCCCGAGCTCTCCTGTCCATCCCACCAGCCTGCTCAGACACAGCCACACCTGCCCCGGCTGGGCCTCCCAGACTCACTGGCATCGAAGACGGCCTTGAGCGCCTGGATGTCCGTGGCCACGCCCGATATCCTGTAGATGCCAACCTCCTCGATACCCCTCTTCTCCACCTCCTCCACACACTGCCGGACGATGTAGGGCACCTTGGAGCGCTCCCGCCTGGGGTGGAGCGTGAGGATGGGTGGAGGGCAGCCCCCACGACAGCTCTCCCGTAGCAACCCCCACCCAGCACACACACACCCTGGAGAGCTTCTAGCATTTGGGATGGAGAGCTGGGGCGGGGGCAGGGGCAGGGCAGAGAAAGAGGCCACCGCACCCCACCCCAGCCAGCCCACCCGAGGCCTGCCGAAGGGGCATCGACGGACGTGGGCAGGAGAAGCCTTGGGAACTTGGGAAGGTAAGGCCGAGACTCTAGGGAAAGAACGTCCCCCAGATTCAGATGCTTGTAGGAGGCCCAGCAGGCAGCCCACATGAGGAGGTGGGTCAGGCCTGAGACAAGGGGCCAGGGTGGTGGTGAACCGGGGGACACGTGCCCTTTCCCGAGGGGCCGCCAGTCCCCGTTGGTGCCGAGCCCAAACGTAGGCCCCCGGCTGACAGAGCTTCCCGCTTGTTACGAGGAGCAGACGATCTGGGATCTCACAAGAGACCTTCCAGCGTTTAGGTGCTGGCTCGCGTGCTTCTGAAGTGTCCTGTGAGCGCCTCTGCGGCCACTCTAGATCCACACCGGCCATCTGCCACCGCCGAGCGGGGGGTAACTGATTAGGTGCCAGGATGGGCACCGGCGGGGAGGGCTGGGGGGCCCGGGCTGGGGGGGACCCGGGGCACCGACGCCAGGACTGGGAGACCCGAGGCAGCACCTACTTCGTCACCACGCTGATCTTCACACCGAAGACGCCGGTCTGCTTTTTGGACGGGGTCCTCTTCAGGCTCATATCTCGGCTGGTGAATTTCATGGAAAATTCCACTTTGATCTGGTTGGGGGGTGAGGCAGGTAAAGATTCCCCAGGGTGTGAGTGCCCGAGGAATGCCCCCAAAACACAGGGGTCCCCTCCCCAAGACTGCAAATGAGGGCTAGCTCACACCCAGGTCTCCCTCAACACAACACCTGCAGGACAGCAGCGGGCAGGGTGTGGGCAGGAGGGGAGAGGGGGCTGGGCTGCGGGGAGGTCGAGGCGGCACAGCGGCCCCAGGAGCAGCCACAGGGCCGGGCTGCCCACCTGCTGCACAGACGTTCCACCTCCCGGCTCACGCCACTGATCATTCCCATCCCCGGCTCACCCCGTTCATCTCAATCACGTCCGTGTGCCAGTTCTTGGTCTCCACGGTTTGTGGGTCCAGCTGCAGAGAGAGAATGTGGGTGAGAGAGGTGCCAGCTCGGAGGCCAAGCCAGAGATCTCCCCGTGGGTCAGCACTGCTCAGAGCCAGCTACACAGTCAGGAAGGCGGAAGTGAGCAGCTGGGATAAGCTGATGTTTACCTGGAAATCAACCCTTTGGGGGGACCCTAGCCCCCAGGCCCCTGTGGCCGCCGTGGGGGAGGCAGGGCACACCCTGTTACCCGCCGTGGGGGAGGCAGGGCACACCCTGTTACCCGCCGTGGGGGAGGCAGGGCACACTCTGTTACCCACCGTGGGGGAGGCAGGGCACACCCTGTTAGGCACTCCTGGCTGCCAGCCCGGGACATGGGTATTATTACCCCATTTCACAGATGCAGAAACTGAGGCTCACAAAAGGTAAGCACCTGATTAGGAGGCGCTCAAGTCCATCAGGAGGGAACCAGCCCATCCACGTGGAGGTGTTGAAGAGTCAGGAGCCCGCGCACAGGAGGCTGCCTGGGTTTGAATCCTGGCAAGTTTTAAACTCACTAAGCCTCAGTTATTCCATCTGCAACAGAACCTGCCTCCCTGGGATTGCTGGGAAGATTCAGGGAGAAAACTTGGGTCAAGCCATTGGCTCCCAAATAAGCAAATCCTCCACAGGGGAAGTCCCCAGGCTCGGGCTGGAGCCCAGGGAGGTGCGGACCCCAGGGGAGGTCAGAGGCAACCCTCACACAGGACTGTTCCACGTTCTGTTTCTGTAACTCGGGGGCCTTCGCGCCCGTCTGCCTGTGCACCTGCGAACTAATTCTGAGCAACTGTGCGCTCCCTGGCACTTTCTGAAGTCAAAATCTGAACATTTCCAAGTTTAAATAGTTGCAAAGAGTATGATTTCCAAAATCATGTCAATATTGCCATCCTAAAATAAAAGTGTGACATCATTCCTTCTCATGGATTCAGTGGGATCTAAATACCCCAGCGACGTGATACCCACACTCATCCATTTAAAAACTACACGAGGCCAGGCGTGGCGGCTCACGCCTGTAATCCCAGCACTTTGAGAGGCCAAGGCAGGCAGATCACGAGCTCAGGAGATCGAGACCATCCTGGCTAACACGGTGAAACCCCGTCTCTACTAAAAATACAAAAAATTAGCCGGGCGTGGTGGCGGGCGCCTGTAGTCCCAGCTACTTGGGAGGCTGAGGCAGGAGAATAGCGTGAACCCGGGAGGCAGAGCTTGCAGTGAGCCGAGATCGCGCCACTGCACTCCAGCCTGGGCGACAGAGCGAGACTCCGTCTCAAAAAAAAAGAAAAAACATCTAAACAATGTTGAAAAAGAACACAGCTATAGGGCTAATATTACCCAATTTCAGGGCTTATTATATAAAACTCTCAAAATTCAATATTAAGAAAACAGGCCAGGCACGGTGGCTCATGCCTGTAATCCCAGCACTTTGGGAGGCCGAGGGAGGCGGATCACGAGGTCAGGAGATCGAGACCATCCTGGCTAACACGGTGAAACCCCGTCTCTACTAAAAAAAAAAAAATACAAAAAATTAGCCGGGCGCGGTGGTGGGCGCCTGTAGTCCCAGCTGCTGGGGAGGCTGAGGCAGGAGAATGGCATGAACCCAGTAGGTGGAGGTTGCAGTGAGCGGAGATCACACCACTGCACTCCAGCCTGGGCGACAGAGTGAGACTCCGTCTCAAAAAAAACAACAACAACAAAAAACTACACAAACAAGCTCTTCTTTCCCTCACAGAGCTCCTGGATCTTCTCTCCTTGAATTTGTTTCTATTCCATTTCTCCTAAAGAATGTTGTCCTAGTTTATATTTTTATATTTTCAAGTCCTTTATTCACCATTACATTTTGCTTCCACAAAAAAAATCTGTATACATTGAAAACAAAAATTTCCAGAGACCACAAGGCTCCAAATATTCAAAATATATTCAGGATTAGTTAGTACCATGATTGGCAGTACATAATTAAAAAGACAGCCAGGCACGGTGGCTCACGCCTGTAATCCCAGCACTTTGGGAGGCTGAGGCTGGTGGATCACCTGAGGTCAGGAATTCGAGACCAGCCTGGCCAACATGACAAAACCCTGTCTCTACTAAAAATACAAAAGTGAGCCGGGTGTGGTGGCGGGCACTGTAGTCCAAGCTACTACTTGGGAGGCTGAGATGGAAGAATCGCTTGAACCCAGGAGGTGGAGGTTGCATTGAGCCAAGATCACACCACTGCACTCCAGCCTGGCGACAGAGTGAGACCCTGTCTCAAGAAAAAAAAAAAAAAAGTAAGCCGACACATTATATACATTTTATTTATTTTTTTGAGACAGAGTTTCGCTCTTATTGTCCAGGCCGGAGTGCAATGGTGCGATCTTGGCTCACAGCAACCTCCGCCTCCTGGGTTCAAGCGATTCTCCTGCCTCAGCCTCCCGAGTAGCTGGAATTACAGACACACACAACCACACCCGGCTAATTTTTTGTATTTTTAGTAGAGATGGGGTTTCTCCATGTTGGTCAGGCTGATCTCGAACTCCCGACCTCAGGTGATCCACCCGCCTCGGTCTCCCAAAGTGCTGGGATTACAGGCGTGAGCCACCGCGCCTGGCCTCATTATACATTTTAATAAATATTAAGTAGCAGAGTAACTTTTTGGTGGAATGCTCTCTCAATGAGATGGGCGGAACATTTTTTGCTTTAGTTCGCGTATCTATAGGGTATTATTTTTTGCTAGAGTGAAACGAGGCTCAGCATCAATTTGGTTCATGTTTCTGGTTTTGTTGTAAAGATGTGCAGGTGCTGTGGCTCCCAGCCACAGGACCACTTGAGCCCAGGAGTTCGAGACCAGCCTGGGCAATGTAGGACCATGTCTCTAAAATGAACAAGAAATATGTGAACAATGAAACATTTTGTTCACATAAAGAAGTAGATGAGGTCGAAAAGAGTTTTATCACAGCCGCGTTACACCATTCTTTAACCTCTCTCCATGCTATCCGCCTTAAATCGCATATATACCTATTACTGAAAATTACTTGAAATGATCTCTCAGTTGAAAATTGAGTCCTCCATCAGTTTTGTGGAAGGCAAAGAACTGGATACCACCTGACTTTTGAAAGGTTCTAAGTGGCCACTAGAGTCTTTTACTTTCTGAACACTGACCCCAACGTTTCTTTTTTTTTTTTTTTTTGAGACGGAGTCTCGCTCTGTCGCCCAGGCTGGAGTGCAGTGGTGCAGTCTCGGCTCACTGCAAGCTCCACCTCCCGGGTTCAAGTGATTCTCCTGCCTCAGCCTCCCGAGTAGCTGGGATTACAGGTGCCTGCCACCACGCCCAGCTAATTTTTTATTTGTAGTGGAGATGGGGTTTCACCATGTTGGCCAGGCTGGTCTCGAGCTCCTGACCTCAGGCGATCCACCTGCCTCGGCCTCCCAAAGTGCTGGGATTACAGGTGTGACCCACCATGCCTGGCCCCTACCCCAACATTTCTAAAAGCCCCTCTGTTCCCCACCCAGGAGGTCTGCGCACCCCGGGCCAAGCCCCGACAGCCAGCCTCAGGCCTCTCCTCTGCAGAGGACAGGATGGCGAGATGCTGGCTCTCAGGCAGATGGCTTTCTGGCAATAGCACCTATGGCAGCTGAGAATCTGCAAACTGATTTCCTGAAAACTCTCCTGCCCACGTCGCCCTCAGAACGTCTCTGTGCACTCTGAGGTGTGCGTGCCACGGTTTGAACGCAGTTGCTATAACAGGCCACTGTCATCACGGAAGGGAAACTGGATCTGGGTCAGCCTTGGGCTTCCTGCAGCTCGATGTAGGTCCTTCCCACATCTATCACCCACACACCGGCTGGGGGCAGGTGGTACCCAAGCCTCCGACGGGGTCTGGGTCTGCACTGGGTTCGCCCTGCCCAGAGAAGGGATGGAACCCAGAACAGGAGACAGAAGTTGGGTGTGTGCAGAGAACCAAGTGCCCCTCAGGGAGAACCACTGCTCCGGGCACCTCTTCACACACGGGAAGCGTGAGGCCATCACCAGCCCGGCTGGAGGCAGGGGTCCTACAGGGTCTCAAAGGAAGCCCCAGCTCTGGCCTTACTTTCCCGAAACCTCTCTCCCCTCTAAGCTGCTTCTGTTCTTTGCAAACCCTCCTGGATCACACAGGCTGTCCCTCGTAGTTCCTTCATCTCGTCTGGACACGGAGCCGGGCCTGGGTCTGTCCCCAGCTCTGTCCCCCAGCAGTAGCCACACAGGGTGGAGGAATCAAATGCTCTTTGTCAACTGAGATGCTACCCTTGGAAGAAACATTCTGGAGCGGCCATGCCCTCTTTTTTTTTTTTTTTTTTTTTTGAGACAGAGTTTCACTCTTGTTGCCCAGGCTGGAGTGCAGTGGTGTGATCTCGGCTGACTGCAACCCGTCTCCCAGGTTCAACCGATTCTTCTGCCTCAGCCTCCCAATTAGCTGGGACTACAGGTGCGCACCATCACACCCGGCTAATTTTTGTATTTTTAGTAGAGACAGGGTTTCACCATGTTGGCCAGGCTGGTCTCGAACTCCTGACCTCAAATGACCCACCCACCTTGGCCTCCCAAAGTGCTGGGATTACAAGTGTGAGCCACCATGCCTGGCCAATTTTTTTATTTTTAGTAGAGATGGGGTTTCACCATGTTGCCCAGGCTGGTCTTGAACTCCAGACCTCAGGTGGTCCGCCCACCTTGGCCTCCCAAAGTGCTGGGATGACAGGCGTGAGCCACCGCACTCGGCCTGTATTTATTTTTCTAGAGACAGGGTCTCACTGTGCCGTCCAGGCTGCTATGTTGCCCTGGGCTTCAGTGATCCTCCTGCCTCAGCCTCCTGAAGAGCTGGCATTACAGGCATGTACCACTGTGTGGGCCCTTATTTTTTATTTATTTATTTATTTTTGAGACGGAGTCTTGCTCTGTCGCCCAGGCTGGAGTGCTGTGGCGCGATCCTGGCTCACTGCAAGCTCCGCCTCCCGGGTTCACGCCATTCTCCTGCCTCAGCCTCCTGAGTAGCTGGGACTACAGGCGCCCGCCACCACCCCCGGCTAATTTTTTGTATTTTTAGTAGAGACGGGGTTTCACCGTGTTAGCCAGGATGGTCTTGATCTCCTGACCTCGTGATTCGCCCACCTCGGCCTCCCAAAGTGCTGGGATTACGGGCGTGAGCCACCACGCCTGGCCCGGGCCCTTATTTTTTAATTGACACATTGCAGTTGTATGTATTTATGGGGCGCAGTTCGATGTTTTGAGACCACCCCTTCTTGAGGCAGGTCTCTCCACACATCAGCATAAGCCTCAGGCCAATTCCATGGCCCCTGGTCCGATTCACCCACAGCCCCTCCTCCGCCCCAGCTTCCCACGACTGGGTGCCTCCTGGCAGCTTCTGCAGGAAGCTGAGCCAATGGTCCCTTCCCAAGTCTCAGGGGGACCTGGACACAACCTGGTCGGGGGGAGTGTGCAGGATTTGGAGGCAGGCTGATCTGAGTCTCCCATTCAACCGTGCGCACTCGGGCAAGGCCTTTCACCTCCGTGAACTTCAATTTCCTCATGGAGGCATCCACACCTGACTCACAGGGCTGTTATGGAAGAGTGAGAGCAACGGACTTATCTCGAGCTCTTCCTGCAAGTCTGACACTGATGAATCCTCTACACACAGCATCTGCGTTCATGATCATGATAGCAGACATATGCGGTTTAAGCTCTCATAGCCGCTCCCATCTCACAGATGAGGATGCTGCAGCTTAACGAGAGTGAGGAATTTACCCAGTGCACACCTAGGAAGTCAGAGCTGGGGTTCAAAATCAAGGCCCCCAGCACCCTCTCTGCTGAAACTGCAGAATGTGTGAAGTCCATGACCCGCAGCTGCTGTAACTGCTGCTTCCTCAGAAAGGCAACATCGGGCCTCCTGGTGTGTGTCCCGACCCGGTGGGCAGACCTGGTGCTGGGAGGCCACCCCCAGTACAGCCCTCCCGCTGCCTCGTGCCCATCACTTCCGCTCCAGCTGCCAGGTTCAACCTGGGCACATCTGACCCAGGACTGCACCTCCTGATGCTAAGGCCCAGTTCTCGCCCCGCCTCCTCCAGAGAGCCTTCTCGGAGAGCCCCAGGTCACAGTGGGAAACTTTGGGTCCTCTCTGCCTTCCTGCTCCACTAAGATCTACCCTCTGCAGCCTCCCAGGCGACACTTGCTGCTGTCTCACACACTCCAGCCCCTTCTGAGGCCAGGCCTGGGCCAGGGGCACTTTCCTAAGCTGTAAGCCCCTCAAGCCCTGACATCTTCCTGGTGCCTGCTGCAGGTGTGGCCCTGGTATCTGCTGCAGGTGTGGCCCTGGTGCCTGCTGCAGGTGTGGCCCTGGTATCCGCTCAGAGAGGCCTGCCTGGCCCCACGGTGCCCTGACAACGACGCTCTGTTTCCCAGGAGGCTATCAGCCTCCAGAAACCAAGTCTATTTCAGGATATCATTTAAACACAGAGGAGGGAGGGAGAGGCACAGCGTACATTTTCCAGAGAAACGCTGCTGCCCGCAACTGCGCTGGCTATTTATAACTCCTGGGAAATGTGGACTGTGCTATTTCCTGATGAGATTAGCACCGGGGTGGAGGGGCTGGCCCCTGGGACGTTGGTGGATGGGACACCTGACTGCTCACCCTCTGGTCCCAGCAGACAGGTGCCTTCCATGGGCCCAGGGGAGCAGGTACTTGGGGGATGTCTGATCACCTGAAGCAGGGAGACAGAGGGAGCTCGTGAAGGGTCAGGCTGGGAAGACCACCAGGGGCACACGAGCACTGGGGCCTCCCCAAGGTGGGCCACAGGCAGGAGACAGAAACAGGCTGCAAAACATCGTGGAGCCAAAAGGCGGACGAACGACTGGGCCAGGGGTCGACGACTGGGCCGTACATGGTCACTGAGAGCAGCTCAACTATTTCCTTCTTTTTTTTTTTTGAGACGGAGTCGCACTCTGTCGCCCAGGCTGGAGTGCAGTGGCGCGATCTCAGCTCACTGCAACCTCCACCTTCGGGTTCGAGCGATTCTCCTGCCTCAGCCTCCCGAGTAGCTGGGGCTACAGGCACGAGCCACCACGCCCGGCTAATTTTTGTATTTTTAGTAGAGACGGGGTTTCACCGTGTTGGCCAGGCTGGTCTCCAACTCCTGACCTCAGGTGATCCACCCGCCTCGGCCTCCCAAAGTGCTGGGATTCCAGGCGTGAGCCCCTGCATCCGGCCGACTGTTTTCTCTTTGTCTGGGCACTTCGCCTGGTCAAATCATGACTGCGCATTCAGGCCTCTCCCAAAGAGAAACGCTGGCGCTGGGGGCTCATGTCCAGGAGACGACCAGGTCCCCTGCGGCGAAAACCCAGCAGGCAGGGGCACCGGGTTGAAATGGGGCTCCGTCACCTCCGAGGGAGCAGGAGTGAAGACCCGAAGGTGAGCGTGGATTCTCTGCCAAGAATCCCGTAGGTGGCTGGTGGAGGTCGCCTCGCCTTTCTGGACCGAAGTGACCTCATGTTTGGGGCAGGAATCAGCAAAGTGGCCCCGCAGCGGGGAGAGGATTTGAGGCTCCAGGGCAGAGGGTGCTCCACGCACACCTGAGCGTCCTCCAGGGCTGAGTTTCAGGAACATCCTGGGGATGCCCCTGAGGGTCTCAGCCCTTCCTCTCGGCTCACCTCTCACCCCCTGGGGCAGGTGACCCCATTTCTCCTGCCTCTGCCCGGAGGGCTGCTCCCGGCCAGCTCCCCGTGCTCGGATTCAGGGGCACGCTCCCTCCGGTCTCCACTCCTGCTCCCTCGGAGGTGGCAGAGCCCCCATTCCAACCCAGTGCTCCTGCCTGCTGGGCCACACTCTCCACTCCAGCACGCAGCTCGCCCCAAGGTCTTCGGAGATGGTTTCCACCACCTCCCCTCCCACAAGCCCTCACCCAGGGCCCTTTAATCCACAGTAAGGGGCCTGTGGTGGCCCTGCCCAAGGCAGGTGGGACTTAGAACTGGCCACTGGGGGTCTCAGTGGAGGGGGGAGCAGAGGTCCCAAGCAGCCTTCAGTGGACGCCACTCAGGACGTGATCCAGGGGCTCACTGGACGACGGGAATCTGAAGACCACATTTGCCAGGGCCCCAAGAGCTCCCAGGCCTCCGCCTCCTTCCTGAAAGCCGCTTCCCTCAGGAGCCCACTCGGTCACTCCCACCGCCCAGGAGCTGACCCCCCGAGGAGCCCTGCCTCCAGGCACAGCCCTGCCCTCGGGGGCCGCCCCATCCTGCCTCTCACGGCTGGCGCTCTTCTACCCTCCACCCTCTGAGCCCCGGCATCCCAGAATGCGGGAGGGTTTCCCTCAGAGGGGGTTGCAGAGGTTCATAAAAAAAAGTGCTTCTTCAGCCAGGTGCGGTGGCTCACGCCTGTCATCCCAGCACTTTGGGAGGCCGAGGCGGGCGGATCACAAGGTCAGGAGATCGAGACCAACCTGACCAACGTGGCGAAACCCCGTCTCTACTAAAAATACAAAAATTAGCCAGGCGTGGTGGCGGGTGCCTGTAATCCCAGCTACTGGGGAGGCTGAGGCAGGAGAATCGCTTGAACCCGGGAGGCGGAGGTTGCAGTGAGCCGGAGTTGAGATTGTGCCACTGCACTCCAGCCTGGCGGCAGAAAAAAAAAAAAAATGCTTCTTCACAACAAAGGTGGTAAATCTGTTCCTGAGAGGTGGGACAGGAACGCTAGAAAATGACTCCCAGCCGGGCGCGGTGGCTCATGCCTGTAATCCCAGCACTCTGGGAGGCAGAGGCGGGCGGATCACTCGAGCTCAGGAGTTCGAGACCAGCCTGGCCAACCTGACGAAACCCCATCTCTACTAAAAATACAAAATTAGCCGGAAATCACTTGAACCCGGGAGGCAGGGGTTGCAGTGAGCCAAGATAGCACCACTGCACTCCAGCCTGGGCAACAGAGCAAGACTCTGTCTCAAAAAAAAAAAAAAAAAAACAGAAAATGACTCCAGAAGGACCTCAGTGCAAGTGGCCCCCGGACAGGGAACCACGTGGAAGGTGGAGCTGTGTGGGCACATTTCACGCCTGCCCTGGAGGGGCCGCGGAGCCCAGGCCCTGAGCCAGGCATCGGGTCTGAGGGTGGGCACGTTTCCTGGGGCTCCCAGGCCAGCGGCCACGGTGGCAGCCCGGGCTGGCTTTCCCCTGCCCTCCCCCAAGGGCAGCCCCACGCTCAGGGCTGGGTCCCCTTGGGACACCGAAGCCGGCCTGTCATTGGGGCAGACCACAGGCGTGAGAGGCACGGCGGGGCTGGCAAGCTGGCAACGGGGGAGACGGGAGTTGCCAAGACCCTGCCTCTCCTCCCTCGAGGAGGCGCCGGAGGATTCCGTCAACGTGACTGCTCCGAGCGACTCCGAGAGAGGCAGGGCAGAGAGGGAGGGGCTGCCAGGACCTACCCCTGGCTTCCAGCTCAGCAGCTGGGTTGGGGACACCGGGCCAGGCTCCATAAACTCTCCACACATCTTCCCATGGCTTGGCATCCACACTGCTAGGCCAGGCAGGCTCCGCCTCTCCAGCCCTCACCCTGCAGGGTCAGCCAGGCTCCCTTGTAGCCAAGGTGTCCTGCAGCCAAGGTGTGCCCACCTGCCATACCCAGGCCAGCCACAGATAGGCTCGGGCTGATGCCGTGTCCCAGGGCCTCGGCTGGCTTCCCCTCCAACACCAGAGAACTTCGAAGTTCCCCAAGCCTCATGGGAGGAAGGGGATTAGCAGCTCTGAACGACGCTTTTGTCCAAGGCAGGCTAGCCTCTTAGCACCCGCAGCAACCTGCCTTCCCCAGCGTCCATTCTAGCACCTCTGCCTGCCCCACGTCCGCTCCAGAGCCTCTGCCGGCCCCACGTCCACTGCAGAGCCTCTGCCTGCCCCACGTCCGCTCCAGCGCCTCTGCCGGCCCCACGTCCACTGCAGAGCCTCTGCCGGCCCCACGTCCACTACAGCGCCTCTGCCGGCCCCACGTCCACTCCAGCGCCTCTGCCGGCCCCACGTCCACTCCAGCGCCTCTGCCGGCCCCACGTCCACTCCAGAGCCTCTGCCTGCCCTGGCACCCACTTTGCTTTTAGCCCCCGGGCTGGGCATGGCTGACCTTGAGGAGAAGCAGACAAAATCCAAACCTGGGCTGCTCTTGGAGGCCCCACAGCCAGGCACATCTCCCCCAGCGGCCTAGGGCTCCGTCTTCCTCAGGGCCAGCCCACCCCACCACTGCCTCCCTGTGCAGGCAGCCTGGAGGCTTCAGCTTCAGCTCAGAACTGGGCTACAAATACCAGCCAGGAAGCCGGCCCTGCCCCAGCCCAGGGCAGGTCGAGGATGCCAGAGTGGCAAGGGCAGGGGCAGTGGGGCCCTCTTGAGAAAAGGAACAGGCCAGGGCCAAAGCAACACGGAGGCCCTGTCCTGAAAGGAAAGGGGCGCCCTCAGAGGTCAAAGTCCAAGATGAGAGGCCTTCTGTGGTCCTGACCAGGAAGCTTCACGCTGGAGGCCACGGGAAGGCCAAGGACCTGTCAGACCTCCATGGGCTCTGAAGCCTCGAGCTGGACCTGGAGTGGTTAAGAAACATTAACAGGGCTGGGCGCGGTGGTTCACACCTGTAATCCCAGCACTGTGGGAGGCCTAGGTGGGAGGATCACCTGAGGTCAGGAGTTCGAGACCAGCCTGGCCAACATGGAGAAACCCTGTCTCTACTAAAAATACAAAAATTACCCCGGCGTGGTGGCACATGCCTGTAAACCCAGCTACTCAGGGGGCTGAGGCAGGAGAACCGCTTGAACCCAGGAGGCGGAGGTTGCGGTGAGCCGAGATTGTGCCATTGTACTCCAGCCTGGGCGACAGAGCGAGACTCCATCTCAAAAAAAAAAAAAAAAAAAAAAAAAGCAGCATCAACAGCCTTCTCTGATACCAGCTTCACCCTCCCTGCCCGGGCCCAGAACACTTTCTGGGCATGGAGCTTGCTGCCGGGGACGTGAGGGGCTCCAGCAATTCCAGGGCCCAGGTCAGCTCTGAGCGGCCCCTCCCAGGCCTTGCCTTGCTCCGAGTCTCACGTTCAGTGGCGTCGTCGAGAAGAACCGTCTTGCCTGTTGCTATGCACAGCGTGCCAGGACGGGCACCACACTGATGCCTGACGGGCAGGAGCCCGGCGTCTCCAGACGCTCCCATCTGGGGCACGCAGCCCAACCCCAACCGGCCACGGAAGGCAGGACACCGCGGGTGAGAGCCTGCGCTGAGGCTGAGTGGCCGGGGTCTGAACGTCGCCCCTCGGCTAAGCCACTCACGTGACTTCATCTGAGTCACTCTCTGAGCCTCATTCCTCATATATAAAAACAGTCTGGGCCAGGCACGGGGGCTCCCGCCTGTAATCCAGCACTGTGGGAGGCGGAGGCAGGTGGATCCACTGAAGCCAGAAGTTCAACATCAGCCTGCGCAACATAACGAAACCTCGTCTTTACAAAAAATACAAAAATTAGCCAGGCATGTTGGTACATGCCTGTAGACCCAGCTACTTGGGAGGCTGAGGTGGGAGGATTGCTTGAGCCTGGGAGATGGAGGCTGCAGTGAGCCGAGATGGTGCCACTGCACTCCAGCCTGGGCGAGAGAGTGAGACTCCCACAAAAAAAAAAAAAAAAAAAATTAAAAATGTAAAACAAAATTCAAAACACATTTAGGCCTGGCGCAGTGACTCACGCCTGTAATCTCAGCACTTTGGGAAGCTGAGGCGGGTGGATCACCTGAGGTCAGGAGTTCAAGACCAGCCTGGCTAACACGGTGAAACCCCGTCTCTACTAAAAATACAAAAAATTAGCTGGGCGAGGTGGCGGGCGCCTGTAGTCCCAGCTACTCGGGAGGCTGAGGCAGGAGAATGGCGTGAACCCCAGGGGGCGGAGCCTGCAGTGAGCCAAGATTGCGCCACTGCACTCCAGCCTGGGCGACAGCGAGACTCCGTCTCAAAAAAAAAAAAAAAAAAATACAAAACTTGGCCGGGCGTGGTGGCGGGCACCTGTAATCCCAGCTACTCAGGAGGCTGAGGCAGGAGAATCGCTTGAACCCGGGAGGCGGAGGCTGCAGCGAGCCGAGATCGCGCCATTGCACTCCAGCCTGGGCGACACAGCAAGACTCTGTCTCAAAACAACAACAGCAAACAAAAACAAAAGAACCCAAACAAATAAATAAATAAACAGTGTGAATAACAGCACCTTGTAAGTGTCACCTCAGTTGCGTCACAGGCTAAGAATGATGCCTCGTACAGTACGTGTTCAAAACATATCGTCACAGAACTGTGCTTGAACACCCCGCGGCTTCCCACTGCATTCGGATTAAAGGCCCTGTCCTGAACCGCAGGGCCCCACGTCGCCTGGCCGCCGTCCCCTGACCCCACGTAACGCCCCACACTGTCCCCCTCTGCCTCTGAGCACACCTGCCTCGGGGTGTGGACCTTGCCGGTTCTTTGGCCTGGAATGCACTGCCCCCAGGTTTTTTATGGCTGAATTCTTCTTGTCATTTAAATCTTCGTTCAAAAGTGATCCTCTCAAGCCAGGCATCCCCCCGTCACTCTCTACTGCGTTACCCAGTTGTGTTTATTTTTTTCACAGCACTCATCTGACCGGCAAGGATCTCATTTGTTGACGGACTCCTCCTGCAGACAGGGTCTCGTCTGTCTCGGGCGCCTCTGTGTCCCTAGTTCCTGCAGGCCTGGCACGTGGAAGGTGCTCCGGCAATACTCACAGGCCAGAGGAACCAACTGGGGCATGGGGGAAGGAGGTGACAATGGCTCCCCGCCGGGGCTGCTTCAGGACAGGGCTCAAGAAGCCCTGTGTTCCCACTAAACCCCCTGCTCCCGTGTCCACTGAATGGCTGGCATTGGCCCAGGTGCAGCCCTGTGACAGACTCTCCCAGGGTGCTCAGGGTTTAAGGTTTAGGACTAGGAATCTTGAGACATGGCCAAGATCATCACATGAACTGGATTCCAGGAGATCATCCTGTTCAGCTCCTTCATTGAGCTGATACCAGAGAACCAGAGAGGCAAAGGGATGTACTCGCGGGCACACAGCAGTTAAGTAGCAGACTGAGACGAGAAAAATGGGAAACCTTGACTCCCACCGGCCTGGCGCCCTGTCTTCTCTGGCACCTTGTGCCACATGAGCCTGAGGGGCTGGGGACCCCGGAGGCCTCCCCGAGCACAGCCACGGCATCCAGGCATCGGATGGGAAGGGCGCTGTGGATGTCACGGCTCTGGCTGTGCCGGTCATCGGTACCAGCCCCGGCTGGGGTCACGGTCCAGAAAGGAGATCCCTCCAGATTTCGGCTCAGGAGCTGGTTCCGCTGTCTTGAAGCGGGACTGGGGAAGTCTCTGTGGGGATCCTGGGGCCTCCTGGCCTCTCTACAGAAGCCCAGGACCAGCTCCACGGGCCCCTCCCGCCTCTCCAGGGCCCATCCTGGAGGGCCAAGGGTCTACGGCTCACTGGACCCAGGACTGACGCTGCGTTTCTCCCCAGGGTGGGGCAGGCAGGTCACAGGCGCAGGGGACTGTCTGTTCCTCGAAGGTGCTGGGGGGCCGTCAGGACACAAACATCTTCCTGCCCCAGCATGAGTTCACAGGGGAAACGAGGTCAAAGAACAGCACCTGCTGACCAGTTCCCAACCACCTGGGCAGTGAGCGAGGCCACTCAGCAGAGGGCCAGGCCTCTCCAGCACCAGCGCCCTGTGGCCAACACCTGGCAGCTCCCCCAGACTCACACCTGCAGGCTTGGGGGCGCTTCCAAAATGCCTGGGGCAGCTCCCCCAGACTCACACCTGCAGGCTTGGGGGCTCCTTCCAAAATGCCTGGGGCAGCTCCCCCAGACTCACACCTGCAGGCTTGGGGGCTCCTTCCAAAATGCCTGGGGCAGCTCCCCCAGCCACACCTGCAGGCTTGGGGGCTCCTTCCAAAATGTCTGGGGCCTCATTGCCTCTGGGTACTACAGCAACACTGGGCTCAGGCAGCTTTGGCCTTTGAGGAACCCCCTTGATTGGCAGGTTCTCCTCTCCCTGGTCCAGAGCCATCCAAAAGCTGGGGCACCGCGCCCAGCACCGCTGGCTGGCCAAGCCGTCTGTGGCCTGCAGGGAGGCCGGGGAGGACCAGCGCCCTTCTACCCTCCCTAGGTACCAAGAAGCGGCACCTTGCCAAGTTCACTCAGAGCAGGGTTCCCGCCTTGATGTCTGCAGCCCCCTCTGAAGTCGCACACAGTGTGTGCATGGGGTGGCTCTGTGTCTGAGTGGCCTCCAGAACCTTCATCAGATTCTCAGAGTCCAGGGTTCCCGCTCTGCGGACTCAAGCAAGCCTCTTGGGAGCTGGCCTGGCAGAGAGATCAGAGAGTACTCATGAGGCCCCAGCAGTGAGGTCTGCCCACTCGGCAGGTGGGTAAGTGCTGTGGAAAAGAGGGAGGGTCGCCCGACCCCACTGCCAACCTGTCAGCCAGCCTGGCCGCAGTCAGGACCCACACATAGGCCCAGGAAGAGGTGGGCTGGTGTAGGGGCCTCCAGCTCTCGGGGGAGGCAGCACTGTAGTCCCCTGTCTGTGGCTGAGGGGTCGCTATGGGGGTGTGTGTGAACAGAGAAGACGCACGATGAAGCTTTCTTCCCACCGGGAAACAAGGAAGGGCGGTGGGCAGCCGGGCCAGGCCAGACTTCTATTGCAGAAGGCTGCGAGATCTTTCCTGACGCCCAGACTGGATTATAAAATAAAGTAGACGAGCCCAAGACATATCTGTATCTTGTACCCAGCACCTGTGTACCCTCGATGGCCAAGTGAGTGGTAGAGTGAACCTCTGGGGTGTGCACGTGGTCTGCACACCTGGTACCATCAAGAAGGAATAAACGACAGGCTCTGTGAGGGGTGGGGTTGTCCTGCGGTGGCGATCAAGCTGACAAAGAAAGGGACCCTTTCCTCCCCCCACCCCAAGACCGAGTCTCGCTCTGTTGCCCAGGCTGGAGTGCAGTGGCATGATCTCGGCTCACTGCAACCTCCACCTCCCAGGTTCAAGCGATGCTCCTGCCTCAGCCTCCCTAGCAGCTGGGATTACAGGTGCCCGCCACCATGCCCGGCTATTTTTTTTTTTTTTGTATTTTTAGTAGACACGGGGTTTCACCATGTTGGCCAGGCTGGTCTCGAACGCCTGACCTCAGGTGATCCACCCGCCTCTGCCTCCCAAAGTGCTGGGATGACAGGCGTGAGCCACCACACTTGGCTAATTTTTGCATTGTTAGTTGAGACGGGGCTTCTCCATGTTGGCCAGGCTGGTCTTGGACTCCTGACATCAGGTGATCCAAGAAAGGGACCTTCTTCTAAGACCATCATGAGCCTGAAGCTTCCCCGAATGGCCCAAGAGGGGCTCTCCACCCCGCCCTTCCTCAGGTAACACCTCTGATCCTCTCTGAAGCAAAGGCAGCAGCTCCCATCACAGAACACGGGACTCACCGTGGGGGTCAGCAGTGCCGGTGTCCAGCTTAAGAGGAGCTCTTTGGAAGTAGGGGATTCTCAGACCCACATGGCTGTGCTTCAGGGCAGAGACAAGGTCACCTGAAGCTGCACTCAATCTCCTTACACCCTGCCGGCTCAGCCTGAGTCCCCACCGCCGGCCAGCATCTGGCCTGGTCTGGGTCAGGAGCGTCTTGGACTTGGTTGCTCTATAAGGGCCTCAACTTCCCCGACAGACAAATGCTTCTGGACCGGCCTCCCTTCAGGCCCTCTTAGCCTCCTCACGGCTCCCACAAGGGGATGCTGCGGGGGCAGGGTGGGGGGGTTCCTCCTTCAGCCCCTTCCCCTCCAAAGCTCAAGCGAGAATCTAGAATTCAGCCCCTTCCCATCCAAAGCTCAACCAAGAATCTAGAAGAGGGAAGGATGGGAGGGAGAGGAAGGCACCGGGCCTGGTCTACTTGAGTGTGATTTGAGGCAAAAAAAAAAAAAAACAAACAGGGAAAAGGAAAGAAAAGTAGAAACGCGAAGTTCAATACCGAGAGCCCTGGCTGAACCCACAAACCCAGATGCCACGTGTCTCCCAGCTAAACACTCGCACAAAAAGCTGACTGCCAAGTCAGGGGCTGGAATGAGGCTTTGGCCCCTGAACTCTCCTCCGGTGACAAGAACAGCCCAACCACAGGGACCCCCGCTGGTACCCAAAGGATCCTCCGTGAGTGTCCCTGCCTCCTCTCCCCCAGAAACCAGAGGCCCTGCACTATTTAAAGGCTCAGTTCTGATCATGAGACCTTTCCATCTGAACAGATTGTTTAATCCCAGCCCTGGATGAGTCACGCCCCGCCTCCAGCCTTTAATGAACCTTCAGGTCAGTGGAAGCAGGAGGGCCACCGGTGTTTCTCGCACCCACAGCATCACTCAGGGCAAAGTTAACGAGGAGTTAATGAGGCAATCCCTCCTGCCAGTCTGGGCAGTACCAGGCACCCTTCCCTTACCCCACCGAAACGAAACTGCCTAGTCCCAGCCCCTCGGCCCAACTGTGAAGCTCCTGCAGGAAAATGCCAGGTTAATGTGGCTGAGGATAGAAAGCAAGAGGCCTGGCCCTTTGACTCTGCTGCTCACCCGCTGGCCTGCGCACAGTGAGGTGGGAAGCACAGGGCAGACGTCCCTCCGTCCACCACAGCGCTGACCCGTGTCCACGACACGGACACACTGTGGCAGACGTCCCTCCGTCCACCACAGCGCTGACCCCTGCGTCCACGACACGGACACACTGTGGCAGACGTCCCTCCGTCCGCCACAGCGCTGACCCCTGCGTCCACGACACGGACACACTGTGGCACACAGCACACGTTAGGGGATGGAATCGCTCGTCACACAGAGCAGCCCAGGGCCGGGGCCACCCTGAGCTGCACTGACGCCAACTGCTCAGCAGCTCAATAGCCCGGCGTCTGCCTGGCCACCACCCCTGCCCAGAGATCCCCATCAGACACGGAGCCACCAGGCACTGCCAGAGGCAAACCCAGCTAAGGAATTCTTGAAGGGGCTTCTCAGTTCTGCCGGCCACAAATGCATAGGGAAAGAACTGAAAGTCTGGGACCTCAGGTTTAAAAGTTGCCCCCTGCCCACCAGGCACCTCCTCAAAGGGGCAGGTAAACTGGAAGCGCCCTGTTTGGCTGGCGCTGGACCCGGAACCTGCCAGGTCAGTTTCTTGCCAACCCTGACGTTTGGGGATGGATGGTGAGCTCTGGGCTGGTGCCTGCTGGCCTCAGCAGGGGCTGGGGAGGGGATGAGTCCACGCTGCCGGGCACAGACAGCTGCCTCAGCACAGAGGGGCTCTGGCAGCAGCTGGGGCCAGCAGGGCTCTGCTAGCCCAGTCCCCAGGGAGGCTGAAGGTGACACAGGGGCCAGTGCAGTACAGCTCAAGTTGCTGCCCTGCCCAGCACTTTCCAGGGCTGATGTCACCTCTGGGAGGTCAAGTATGCCCCATGGCAGGAGCTGAAACAAAACGAGGGGCCAGTGAGCCCAAGATCACTTCGTCCTGGCTGATGCCAGGAGCCTCAATGCCGGCTGGCAGTAAGAGCCTGCAGAGAGGTCCTGTGAGCCTCAGGAGGAGCTGCAGATCCCCACCACGGACTGGCCAAGGCCTCCCTTGTTGCTCTCTTGATGGATGGGCCCAGCCCTGGCCAGCCGGACTGGCACTCTGAGACAGCTAACTCGGACAGTTGATTTGATCTGCAGAGTTATCGAGCACTTCCTGTGCGCTGGGCGCTGGGTCTGGCTCTTCCTCACGTGCCTGATGCCAGGGCCCCAAGCCAGCCCCGAGGCAGCCTGCCCAGCTGCAGGACAGTCGGCTTCTATCTCAGATTTTAATCCCAACTCAGGTCTGGGGCTGCAGGGGCACCGGCGGTCTGCCCTGGCACATGGACGGAACGCCTGGTGCCCGGCGGGCACTGGGCCCACAGTCAGATGGGTGGTCCCTGAAGGGAAGCCTCGAGCCCCCAGACCCGGCAGCATCTCCCCTCCCCACAATCCTGCACAGAGAAACCTCACACGGCAGACGGTGCTGCGGTCGGCGCCCCTCAGCAAAGGGGCAGCCAGCAAGGCCCGCTGGATGCAGGGATCAGGTAGAGGCTGAACAGGGCGGCAAGACATAGACCCAGAGGCAGGCGTCTCCCCGTGCGCTGTTTGCACTCCCGGAGTGGAAAGCAGGGTCCACCTGCCGAGAAGAAACCTCCCTTCTCCCGAGGCAGGGGCAGATGCCCGAGCGCCAGGGTCCGGGTGGGGGCGGCCCCAGCGTTCGCCATCAAGTTCAAGCCACTTAGAGGGACGCGCACAGACCCCAGCTCTGTCCCGGGACTCCACGGAGGGGGCGGGAGCGGGACCCCATCAGCCCCCGCAGCCCCCGCAGCCCCCCGAGCCCCGCAGCGCCCCCGAGCCCCCACCCCCCGGAACCTCCAGCCCCCGCGGGCACCTTGTTTCGGAGCAGCTTGTTGCGCACGCGGCCCCAGAGCCGGGCGCCGGTGTTGGGGGGGCGCTTGCTCCCCGACTCCTCCAGCGCCAGGGGTTCGCGCCCCGCCTTCGGGCTGCAGTCGGGCTGGGGCAGGACGTCGGTCATGCCGGGGGGGACGGGACGCGGCGCTGGAGAGAAGGCGCCTGTGGAGCGCTCAGTCCCGGCTGCCAGTCCCGCTAGTTCCCTAGTCCCGCCGGCTTTCCCCGCGCTCGCCTCCCTCCCTCCCTCCCTCCCCGCGCTCCCCTCCCTCCCTCCCTCCGTCCGCGTCCCTCCTCCCTCCTCCCTCCTCCGCATCCCTCCTTCCCCGCCCTCCGCGAGGCTGCAGCCCAGGCTGAGCGCCGCCTCCCAGGCCCAGGGCCGCCCCTCCAAGCCCCAACCCCGGGTTTCATCCCTGGCAAGGGCGCTGCTCCTCCCCGACCCCGCCGCCCTCCCTCGCAATAAAGTTTACACCAGCCCCACACCCCAGTCCCTCCCTGCTGGGTCCCCGTGTTGCCCACCGGGCTGCTCCAGGGGCCAAGCGGAGGGGCCGGGGGCCAGGCGGGGGCTGCATTTTGGCCACAAACAGCTGCCCTCCTCCCCGGGCAAAAGACTCTGACTGCCCTGGGGTCGCACTTCCCCACCCCCAACTTCTGCCCCAGGCACCTTCCTCAGAGCCAGCTTGGTGACCCGGCCAGACCCTTGTGGACCGGCACTCAGAAGCCTCCTCAGGTGAGAAATGTAAGGATAAAGGAGACCCCTAGTGTGGGAATCCCAGTGGGAATCGGGTCACTGATCTGCTCAGGGACAGGAGCAAAAGCCCGAAACGACGCGGGTCACACGTCCAGCCAGAGATGCCTCTTGAGGGGTCACTTTGAACCATGGCCCTTTGCACCTCACCAAAAAAGGTTTCCGCTGCCAGGGGCAGAGGACGCCACGGGCAACCACCCGCGTCCGTGCTGGGCGCAGAGGACGCCACGGGCAACCACCCGCGTCCGTGCTGGGCGCAGAGGACGCCACGGGCAACCACCCGTGTCCGTGCTGGGCGCCTTGAGAGAGAGAAGAACTTGTTCTTGACCTTCAATTTATTTAGTGAACTTTCTAACCGCAGAGACTAGGACACAAATTACGTCTCAAGGTAACAGTGCAAGTTAGAGTACGGTATTCAGAGAAAAGAGAAAGGCTGAATCCCAAATGTTTAACTATGCAAAACCCAGGGGTGTCTGGGGCCTCGGACCTCTGCAGACCCCAGCACGGCACAGAAAGGAAACCAGTATTTGCACCGTGGCAACCGCGAACCAGGTCTTTCAAACGCCCGACTGCATGTGAGCCTCACATTCTTGTCATGTTGGTGTTACTGCCCTGTTCTAGAGAGGTGAGGACAGGGGGTCAGGAGGTCCAGTTCTTGCCAGGGTTACACAGTGCCAAGTGAGGATGGGGAGGTCCCTCCAAAGCCCTTGGTGCTCACAAGCACTGTGCCTTACTCAAACATGGATGATGCTTTGGATTCAGGAAAAAGAGCTGGGTCAGGACATTTCTTGGTTGACCCCAAGGCAGGTGGGTCGGGGCCCAGAGACGAGCCCTCGGCATCCGGCGTCACCAGCCAGGCAGGTGTCGGGATTTCTCCTCAGAGGCCTTGGTGTTTTTGAGGAATAGGTGGCTTCCCTGCAGAGACAGCCGTAGTCAGAGCTGTCCTTCGTGGAAGGCTGGCAGGGACCAGGCATCATGGATTAAGTCACTTACCCCTCCCAACTGTATGAAGTCAGTACCAGCATCCCCGCTTTACCTCTGAGGAAACGAAGGGCTCTGACAAGCTGAGCTACGTGTCCAAGGCCAGGACAAGCTGGAACACAAACGGAGGTCTGGCTAACTCCAAAGCCCACACCCCTGTCACTCACTGTGATGCCCTAGTGTGGCAGGATCTGGCCCTGGACTATCTTCCACCTGGCTGGTGGAGGGGGGCCTTGGGGCGTCCTGCCTGGGCTAGAACCGGGCCTCAGTCTTCACTGTCCCTGCAGGGGCGGCCAGACCAGCTCCACTTCTTCCTGGCTCACACGTCACACGCACCCCTGGACGGTGCACACGGAACTTCCTCAAACCTGAGCTGCTAAGTGGGGGCTGAGCCACAACAGCCTCACCAGCACCGCCTGAGGGGGAGGTGGAGAGACGGACGGAGGTAGGAACATGCCTGTGTCCCCTAACTGAGGCCTCAGTCACCCTTCTCCACCCCTCCTTCGCCTGCCCCTTCCAGGGCTCCAGGAGGACCCAGACAGCCCCTTCACACAGCCACAAAGCCATCTCCTCCAGGAAGGCTCTGCTCACTCCTCAGGCCCCACTGCTTGGTCCCACTCATGTCATTTTTTTTTTTTTTTTTTTGAGGCAGTGTCTTGCTCTGTTGCCCAGGCTGGAGTGCAGTGGTGCAATCTTGGCTCACTGCAGCCTCCGCCTCCCCAGCTCAAGCAACTCTCCTGCCTCAGCCCCTTGAGTAGATGGGACTACACACACCCACCACCACGCCCGGCTAATTTTTGTATTTTTCGCAGAGACGAGGTTTCACCATGCTGGCCAGGCTGGTCTCAAACTCCTGACCTCAGCCTCCCACAGTGCTGGGTTTACAGGCATGAACCACTGCACCTGGCCCCACTCATGTCACTCTAGAGGTAGTGACTGAGGGCCTGGCTGCGTGCCCGACCCTGGGGTGGGGGTTAAGGCATCACAGAGACGAATCAAAAGTCAGTGCTTGACAAAGGGGCAGCCAAGAAAGCAGAGATGTCCATCAACAGGAGGCAGACAAGCATTTGTGCATTTGGCACGGGTCACTTGTGCACCTACTAGGCACCACGCCCAGATGGACAAAACCCGCACAAAATCCCATATTACGGCCTCAGAACAGGACAGACAAAATGCCACGAACATCGAGAGATACAATTTCCAGCTGGAGGCAACTGGGGAAGGCTTCCTGGAGGAGAGGGGTCAGCGTGGGGCCCTCGGGGCTGTAGGGAAAGGCCATCCACCCTCACTGGGTCCCAGCTTTACTCTACCTCCCTCCAGCAAACGTGCAATGGCTGTCATGTAACTGGCTGGTAGGATGCCATTATAACTGCTCTCCACGTTTGCGCCACAGTGCTCCTGGTGCCGTGACTTAACTTCAGAATCGGCCCCTCACTGGCCTATGGTCCCCTTCCCTCGGGCTGGGTCCCAGGCCACAGGGTGCAGACTGCGAGAATGCACGCCCCTCCCTGCCGCCGGGTGTGGGGGAGAAGGGGGCCGTGTGAATCCCGTTCCCAAGGCCCGGCACTCATCTGTCTTAGGTACCACAGGCTCAATACTTGTCTAGGTAAAGCAAGCTCGGACTGGATGAACGATGGCCAGCTGGTCTCCATGGTGACATAAGTGCCTTCGCAGATGGGTAGCCGAGTTGGGAGTCTTCCCCTGAGACGCTCATCTTTCCCTTCCTCCCTATGGACTGGGGGCTTCCTCTGGGGACAGCGCAGACTTGCCTTCTCTCCCCCAAGCCCGACTCATTGCTTCCTGGAGTCAATGGTCTTGGGTGGAAGAAGATCTGTGCAAGACAGATGTCCCCAGCAAAAGCAGAAGTCTGAATTCTAGTCGCTGCAGCCCACCACGGACCCCTCCTCATCTCTGCTGGGTTCAGCTCAGGCTATCCCAACCACCTGGGAAGGGGCCACTCTCCTTCCTCCCTCACTCCTTCCATCCCCTAAACCTGCTCCCCCCCACCCCTTCCACCCCCTACACCTGCTCCCCCACCCCTTCCATCCCCCACACCTGCTCCCCCACCCCTTCCATCCCCTACACCTGCTCCCCCCACCCCTTCCATCCCCCACACCTGTTCCCCCACCCCTTCCATCCCCCACACCTGCTCCCCCCACCCCTTCCATCCCCCACACCTGCTCCCCCCACCCTTTCTACCCCCACCTGCTCCCCCCACCCCTTCCATCCCCCACACCTGCTCCCCCCACCCCTTCCATCCCCCACACCTGCTCCCCCCACCCCTTCCATCCCCCACACCTGCCAGAGCCCTCCTCAGACGACCTGCAAGACTCCCCCGGCTGGATAAACAGAGCCTGGTGGTAAGGCCCCCACGAACAGATGTCACTGCCTTTGGAATTAAAAACATTCCTAGTGGACCATCCCATCCTCCCTCAGCCCCTCCCCAGGCTCTCTGCAAGGGGAGTGAGAGGGGCTGTCCCCGGGGAGACGTGGGTGGGACCCCGCATTACACCTAGGGAGGGGGTCATGCCACCCAGCACAGCTGTGACTGAGGTAAAATCGGGTTAAGGTGTTCAGTGGCGGCATCAACGAGGAAAAAAGGTCACATCCTGCCCTGTGCGAGCGGGAGGGGCAAAGGCTGCAGTGGGGCTGCCTCGGTGACAGCTGGGGGTGGGGACGGCTTCCAGGCAAATCCTCCAGCCTGTGAGCACCAGGAGGAAGGTTCTGCCTCAGAACCTAGAAATGCAGCTGCCGCTTTCCTGGAGTGACCTCCTTTTTCCCACCAGAACGACGCTCCTCTCCCCCAGCCCACACTTGAACCCCGATTCCTCGTCCTATCCGCTAGCGCAAATGACTCCAGGAGAGGGGGTTTCTGAGCAGCCAGCTAGACCAAGGCCACAGGCGCCCCAGTGGGGATAGCCTGGGAGCCAGTTGGGGCGGGGAGAGCCCCAAGAGGCCGCCCAGAGAGTCCAGAGCCCAGGAGGAGCCTGGCACCCAGCTGAGGATGGGGACCGAGGGGATGTGGCTCAGGTCTGCCAAGAACACTCCCTCTCTCAGCACCAGAGGATCAGGGCACCGGCTGGGCATCAGAGGACCAGAGCTGGGGGACAAGAAGGTGCTGGAGGAGAGCAGGGCGGACCCGAGGCTGGGGGGCAAGAAGGTGCTGGAGGAGAGCAGGGCGGACCCGAGGCTTTGGGGGCTGCAGAGAGCCTGCCAGTGGCTCCTGCCCAAAGACAGGTGCAGGCTCCAGGATGAGAGAGAGACAAGCAGGCCGAGCATGGGAGCCCGGGGTGCCCAGCGCCCACACAGGGCGTGCGAGTTGGGCGGGAGGATGGCACGTTCCGGGGACAGCTGTGGGGGAGTGGGGACGGGAGTGTCCCCCAACTCGGTGGCTCTGTGGTCACTGCATTCTTACTGTGTGTTCTGACCATTTCCTGTACCGACCCTAACCAAAACCTGCGGACTGGAAGGCCAAATGTCTTCCCAGAATGAGACACTGAGACTCACTCTAGGTTTTTCTCCCCACCCATCGGATACCTCTGGGTATTTGCAATGTTCAGAGCCTGCATTCAGCCTGGGGACAGGAGTCACCCAGCAGCCAATGGCAGATTAGACCCTAGGAGCTATGTTTGTTTCTTTCTTTCCTTCCTTCCATCCTTCCTTCCTTCCATCCTTCCTTCCTTCCATCCATCCACCCATCCATCCATCCATCCACCCATCCATCCACCCACCCACCCATCCTTCCATCCATCCATCCATCCATCCACCCACCCACCCATCCATCCAGGTGGGGCTGGGAGAGGGGTCCAGGGTGGGCTCAAGGTTGAAGATGGGCACAGTGTAAGGAAGAAGGCAGTCAGGATGAAATCAGTTGCTCTACGGCCCAGACCTAGGCCTGCCCAAGGTAACCTGCTGTCCTCCCAACTCCCCAAAGGCCTGTGCCGGCTCATAGGGCAGTCCCGAGTACGTGCTGCTTCTCACACAGCTCCAGCCTCCCTCTGCCTGACCTCCAGCCTCTCTCTGGCCACGTCAGGCTGGTGTCGCCAGGGTGCTCGGTGGTTCTAGGTACGGAGGAGAGGCTGAAACAGCCCAAGAGCTTGTCTGCTGCAGGAGAAGTGTCCCGACAGCCCGTCCCTGGCAAACCCTAGCGATTCTCACAGCACATTTGGTCATGGAAAAGGGTGAAAAATGCACTTGAGCCTTTGGGAACATCTTGCTTATCTAGAACAAAACTCACCCAGGGACAGAGTGGGCAGGGCGTGGCCCCTCAGTATGCTGTCCCTACCGCTGGAGCCCCCCTGGGCTGCTTGCCTGCTCCTCCTCCCGGGAAGGAGGGGGTGTGGCCGGGTCTCCCAGCACAGCCATAAATTGCAGCCTGAGGCAGGAGGGGCTGAGGCCTGAAGGTGGGATGGGGTCGCCGAGCCTCCCTGCTCTTTCTTCATTCTGGATTCCCGAACACCTCCCTTCCACCCAAGCTCCGAGCTCATGGTGGCCAGAAGCAAAGCCCTGGGAGCCAGGGACCTGTGGACTCAACGGCTGTGTTTTTCTCTGGGTTCAGTTTCCACAGCTGTCAAATCAGGAGCTCGGAACAGACACATGGTCTCCGGTGAGATTTCTTTTCTGCTGAGGACGCACCCCTGCCGTTTTTTCCAAATGAAATTTTATGCCGACGTCTCCCTGCCCACCTCGTCGGATAAAAGCAGAAGCAGAGAGAGCAGGCGCCCTGGCTGAAGAGGGGACGTGGGGCCCACTGGCTCACACCTGCTTTTCCACCACCCCTCGCCTGCCTTGGGGCTCACGTCCCTCCCCGGAATTCCCACGCCCCACAGGCAGAATCTGAGGCACACCTCAGCGCCCCGCCCTCCTTTCAGGCATCTACAGCTCAAACCTTAGGTTCCCAGCAGCTCCTAGAGGCAGTTCTCCCGAAGGCCTCGCTCTCCCTCGGGGTGGGGGACGTGGGGGTCTGAGAGATTAGGGGCTTTGTAAGGACACCTCTGGGTCAGACGCTGAACCTGCAGCTCCAGTCGTGTCTCTGCTTCTCTCCCTCCTTTGGGAAACTCAGGGCTTTTGCTCAGTGGCTGTGGGTTCGCCCTGGCAGCCTCGAGAGGGGACAGCACCTGTCTAGTGGGTCAGGCGGGTGTGTCTGGGTCATCTTGCGTCTCCAGCCGCGCTAGGGTCTTTCCTGAAGCCAGGGCAGCTCAGCACTTGCCTCCGAGGGCGTGAACACGGTGTGCCCATCCCTCCCTGCCCCAGCCCAAAGCTACAGGCTACACTGGGGCTTAGACCCTCGCCCAGCACCACCAATGTCCACGCCCCCAGGCCACGGCAAGGGCGGGGCTGGCCACGAGGGGCTGCTGTGAGTCTGCGGTGGCCGCAGGCTTGAGGGAGGCCAGCAGAGCCCACCCTAAAGGTGACCCCCGCTCAGCATTCATCTGCAGCCTCAGCCCTAACTCAAGAAATTCTCTGGCAACCCTTCTGTGGCATCCTTCTCTTGAAGCTTTCAGAAAACACGGAAAGTGGGACAACCCTGGAGCTGATCCTTTGGATTCCTAGGAGGAAGCAGCAGCCTCCGCCAGCAGGGAGGTTAGCGGCTCACGGGGAGGAATCTATGTCTGCGGCTTTCGCCTCGGCGAGTTCGCTGAATGCCACGGACCCGAGAGGACACTCTCTGAAGGGTCACCCGAGGTTGGCCGGCTAAGATCAAACCCAGGTCCCGTGCCTCTGAGTCTGGGAGCCCGGCACCCAGAGCTGAGAACACCTTTTTTTGGTCTGTCGGGAGGCTGGATGTTCTCAGGGCCTGACTGCATCGGCTCCTGAGGTCCTGTCTGGACCGGCTTCTCTGCATGGTGCCCACCCTTCAGAGGCGGGTCAGGGGGAGCGGGCGCCAAGCCTGCCTGCTGAGGCGGCACTTCCCAGGGGTGGAGGGGAGCGGGGGGAGCCGACTCACACCTCCATCTGCTTCCTGCTGGATGCTTCCTGCCCAGAATCCACTGGGCAGAGTCCAGGCTCCCAAAATCAGGAACACCTGGGCGATGGAGGCAGCTGAGCAGGGCTGACGAGAGAGGTTCGTGCCCCACGTTTGGAAAAGCTTTCGACGGCAGGGCAGGCACTCTCGAGGGACCCTCCCCCGACTTCCCCCACCCAGGACAGTCTCTGCTGCCCACTCTCCAAGGAGAACCAGGCGTCTAGACCTGCCTTGAAGAGGGACAGCAGGTGGGAGTCTGGGCTGGAGAACAAATGTGCCCGAAACAGCTGGGGTGGGCAGGGCCAGAGCAGGACAATGGCTGCAGTCACGGGGCCCTGGGAGGAAGTGGAGAGTCAGCAGGAAGTAGAACCAGGCCTGGGGCTCAGCCTCCACGGTCCCTATGTGCCTGGGGAACTGGCACAGGGGTGGGGGTGGCGGCAGAGGGAAGAGCCCCACGTGGGCCAGCTGTGAGGGTGGCAAGCAGCAGGGAGGCGGAACTCCTAAGCCAGGAGCCGAGGCGGGGCCTGACATGCACTCCTGGCCTTGGCGGGCGCCGACGCGGGCTGATCTTCCAGGGAGAGGTCACTCCGGTGTCCCACGACAGGGAGCTATGGGGGCTGTGAGTGCCAGGGCAGGGGTTGGGGACGGGAGAGATGGAACCAAAGGGAAAGGCCTGTGTTCCTTCCCAGTTGAATCAAGGCCTCCCTCAGGGCCAGGGGCCCGGCTGTGGTCAGTGTGGCCCACGCGTGAGGCCTGGAACGGGGAAGCACTGAGGACCCACGTTACCGGCCGTCGATCATCTTCCTGGGAGGGGTCCCAGTACCACTATGAAGAACGAGAGGGGGCCGGAGCTGGAAGGGGCTCTGGGCTCACAACCCAGGGCCCCCAGGACGCACGCGCAGGACCCTCAGGCAGGGTCGAATGGGGACAAGACACCCCTTGGGGGTCAGAGGGAGGGAAGTGGGGCAGGGGAGCCCTTGACTCCTGCCCTGGCGGGCTCCGGCCCCACGTTCTCTGCAAGCTTCCTCGTGCTCTCCAGAGTAATTGAAACCAGAAGCTGCTCCCCAGCCGCTGACAAAGGCCCCTTGTTTCCGACCACACCAGGCCAAGCTCAGAGCTGCCGTGCTGGGTCATGGCAGGGAAACCTCGGGCCAGCCGGCATTGAGGGCCCCAGCCTTGACTTCCCCGCCCCTGCTATGAGGTTGGTTCAGCAAAGCCAGTCTGACCCCATCAGCTTAAGAAAATAATGCTGCCTCGGCCAGCCAAAGGCCCCGACCCAGGGGACCACTTATAGGTGACAGCCTTTAGGAGGGGGCTGCTGGACAAGTGACACCCAGAACCACTGGAAGGGGGTGGGGGACAGGGTGCCTGAACCCGCCAGCTTAGGGCAAACCACGTACTGACTCCATGCCAGGCCCCGGGTCCAGGGTTTCATGGACCCTCACATTCAGTCCTCTTACAGCCCATCTGACAGGTCAGGAAGCTGAGGCTCAGAGGCAAAGATACTCGCTCTGTTCTCCCAACTAACGATGGAGAAAGCTAGACTCAGCCCCGCAAGATCTGTCTGGCCTCAAAACCCCGGCAACACTGGCTAACGATCCAAGTTCTCGTTTTCCTTTTTTTGAGACAGAGTCTCGCTCTGTAGCCCAGGCTGGAGTGTAATGGCGCAATCTCGGCTCACCGCAACCTCCACCTCCTGGGTCCTGGTTCACACCATTCTCCTGCCTCAGCCTCCCGAGTAGCTGGGATTACAGGAGCGCACCATCACGCCCGGCTGATTTTTCTATTTTTAGTAGAGACGGCGTTTCACCATGTTGGCCAGGCTGGTCTCGAACTCCTGACCTCATGATCCGCCCGCCTCGGCCTCCTAAAGTGCTGGGATTACAGGCATGAACCACCGTGCCTGGCCTAAGTTCTCTTGTTTTCTTTACCAGACGGTGAGGTCCTGGTCATTCTTTGTACCCACAGCCCAGGGCCTGCCATTCAGAGGATGTATCGTAAACAGAAACAAGTGAGTGAACAGGTGAAAGCGTGGACGCACACGTCACAGCACCGACTGGCTCTTCCAGGTATGTGAGATCCTTTAAGCCAGTGCTGAAGGTGGGGTAGGAATAGTTACCCCCACTGAATCAATAAAGAAACTTGGCCGGGTGCGGTGGCTCACGCCTGTCATCCCAGCACTTTGGGAGGCTGAGGCGGGTGGATCACAAGGTCAGGAGTTCGAGACCAGCCTGGCCAACATGGCAAAACCCCGTCTCTACTAAAAATACGAAAATTAGCTGGGCATGGTGGCGGGCGCCTTTAATCCCAGCTAACCAGGAGACTGAGACAGGAGAATCACTTGAACCCGGGAGACGGAGGTTGCAGTGAGCCAAGACTGCGCCATTACACTCAGCCTGGGCGACAGAGAGAGACTCCATCTCAAATAAATATAAATAAGTAAATAAATAAAAGAAGAAACTGAGATGCCAAGAAGTCAAGGGACCAGAGGTTGTTCCCGCGGCCTCAGGGTGACTGCGTCTGCATTCGATGCACCTAAACCACTGACCAGGGGAGGAAAGAGCTGACCCAGGAAGAAGGGTGAAGGGGTCAAGGGGCAGGGACACTTGGCCGGGAGGGGGAGAGAAGGCCGAGGCAGGGGGCCCAACTGTGTGCTTCAACTACAGGAGACTAATAGTGACCAGTCATGCCCTAGGGTCACGGGTCCTGCTCATCTATTACAGCTGGGAGGCAGGTGGGGGACAGAGCTTGGGTCTGGAGAGAAGGAGGCTGTGCTGTCTCCATCCTCAGGGACAAGGTTCTTTTTCTCAACGAAAGGCAAGAGCGTTTTGGGTGGAAACAACCCAAATGTGCACGGATGGACGGACGGACAGACGGATAAACAGACATGGCACCTACATCCACGGACGGACGGATAAACAGACATGGCACCTACATCCATGAATGGATGGATAAACAGACGTGGCACCTACATCCGCGGATGGATGGATAAACAGACGTGGCAGCTACATCCACAAACGGATGAATAAACAGACGTGGCACCTACATCCACGAACGGATGGATAAACAGACGTGGCACCTACATCCACGGACGGATGGATAAATAGACATGGCAGCTACATCCACAGATGGACAGGCGGATAAACAGACGTGGCAGCTACATCCACGGGTGGGTGGACAAACAGATATGGCACCTACATCCACGGACGGATGGATAAACAGATGTGGCACCTACATCCATGGACGGATGGATGGGTAAACAGACATGGCACCTACGTCCACAGACGGATGGATGGACGAAGAGACGTGGCACCTACATCCACGGACAGACAGAAGGACAAACAGACGTGGCACCTACATCCACAGATGGATGGATAAATAGACGTGGCACCTACATCCACGGATGGATGGATGGATAAACAGACATGGCACCTACATTCACGGACGGATGGATGGATAAACAGATGTGGCACCTATATCCACAGACGGATAAACAGACGTGGCACCTACATCCACGGACGGACGGGCAGATAAAGAGACGTGGCATCTACATCCAGGGAAATTGTATCCAGCCTCAGAAAGGGAGGAAATTCAGACACACAACGGCATATGGGTGAAGCTCAAGGACATGAGGAGGACAAATGCTGTCTGATTCCACCTACGTAAGGTTCCCAGACTGGACAAATTCGTACAGACAGAAAGCAGGCAGGTGGTTACTGGAGGCTAAGGGTGCAGGAGTGGGGAGTTATGATTTAATGGGGATGGGGTTTCGGCTGGGGAGGGCCAACAAGTTCTGGATATGCACACTGGCAACGGCTGCACAGCACCAAATCCACCTATGGCCACGGAGCTGTGCACCCAAAAATTATTATTTTTTGAGATGGAGTCTCACTCTATTGCCCAGGCTGGAGTGCAGTGGCATGATCTTGGCTCACTGCAACCTCTGCCTCCCAGGTTCAAGCAATTCTCCAGCCTCAGTGTCCCGAATAGCTGGGACTACAGGCGTGCACCACCACGCCCGGCTAATTTTTTTTAATCTTTGTAGAGATGGGGTCTCACCATGTTGGCCAGGCTGGTCTTGAACTCCTGACCTCAGGTGATCCATCTACCTCGGCCTCCCAAAGTGCTGGGATTACAGGCGTGAGCCACCGCGCCCGGCCCCTAAAATTTATTAAAATGGTAACTTTATGTTATGTATATTTCACTACAATCTTTTATTTTTTATTTTTTTCAGTGGAGATAGACTCTTGCTCTGTCACCCAGGCTGGAGTACAGTAGCGCAATCCTTAGCTCACTCTAGCCTCCTTAGCCTCCCAAGTAGTCCACAGCTACACCACGTGAGCTACTATGCCTGGCTTCTACCACTATTTTTTCTTTAAAAAGAATAAAGGCCGGACGCGGTGGCTCACACTCCCTTCCTGGCCTGGAACCTGCCCCTCCCACCACAGGGTCTTCAGCGCTGCTGTGCCCAGGGAGGGGCTGCCCTGGCAGGCACGTGGGGAAGTGGAGCTGCCTCCCAGGCACAGGGAGCAGAGGTGGACTGTGGGGTGGGGGCTGTCCCCAGCCTGCGGTGAGCGAGGGAATGACGCAGGGCCGGGGGGCGGGCAGGGGGTGCAGAGGGCCCCTCAGGTTTAAGTAGCTTCTTGGTCTCAGGCCCTTCTCCAGTCTGGGGACGCTGGCAGAAACTGAGCTGTGGGGCCCCAAGGGAAAGCGCTCTCCTCAGGCCCAGCCCGCCAAGAAGGGCCGGACCCTGGGAATATGCTAATCAGCTAGCGGGTAGGTTGCAGCTGGAGCGGCAAGGCTGGAAATAGAGTAGGATAAACACAGTGGAGTCCCCTGGGACCAGGAGCCAGGGCAGACTACGCCGGGGGCAGGGGCAAGAGCCGGTGGAGGGGGGGCTCCCAGCTAAGCGGACCTGGATGGGGTCCCTGAGTCTGGGGCCCTTGTTCACCCACTAACAAGCTCTGTGACCGCGGCTGCCTCGCTCACCCTTGCTGGTGTCCATTTCCTTCTCTCCGGAAAACAGGATTGGATTAAACGCCCTCTAAGATTTATTCCAGGCCGGGTGCCGTGGCTCAGGCCTGTAATCCCAGCACTTTGGGAGGCTGAGGTGGACAGATCACCTGAGCTCAGGAGTTTGAGACCAGCCTGGTCAACATGGTGAAACCCTGTCTCTACTACTACTAATAAAAATCAGCTGGGCATGGTGGTGGGCGCCTGTAATCCCAGCTACTCGGGAGGCTGGGACAGGAGAATGGCGTGAACCTGGGAGGCAGAGGTTGCAGTGAGCCAAGATTGCGCCATTGCACTCCAGCCTGGGCAGCACAGCAAGACCCCATCTCAAAAAAAAAAAAAATACCTCTTCCGGCCAAACCCCCAGGAATCCCCTCCTTTTATTCATTCCTTCTACTGGCCTTGCTTGCAGCTCCCCGCCACCCCTGCTGAGGCTCCTGACTTTCCTGGGACCCTCCCTTCACATTCGTGCCTCCCTGCCAGGCGGGTCTGTCCTCCAGAACTCCCACCCTACTCCCTTCTGCGGAAGCGGAGCCTGCGCACCTTGCTGGAATAACACAGAGCCTTAGCATAGCAATTGCGCTGGCCGCTCTATACCAAGATTTCTACAAAGAATATAAAGTACTTTTAACAAAGTATCCAAAAAGGTGCTTAAGAAGACTCCATACAGCTCTAGAGAAAAGGAGGTTTATAATAATCCATGAAAACAGAAAAACAGACAAAACAGGCCCTGATTAAATCTACATAAAAATGTGTATACCTCAAGAAGGGAAAAGGCACAGAATAAACTGGCTGCTTCGGAGGAGCCGGAGGAAGGATGGTTTCTGATTAGGTTTCAAGTCTCTTTGCTTCTACTGCAATTTTCTTTCTCATACAAACATTGCTTTTGGAATTAAAAAACCCAGGGCTTCCAAATCGCTCTCGTTCCACCTCCTCCTTGAAGCCTCCCTAATTCCAGCCCATGGTGACCTTTCTGCCTCTGAATTCCTGCGGGACAATCTTCCATCTTCTTATAGCAGGACAATCTTCCATCTTCTTACAGCAGGACAATCTTCCGTCTTCTTACAGCAGGACAATCTTCCGTCTTCTTACAGCAGGACAATCTTCCGTCTTCTTACAGCAGGACAATCTTCCGTCTTCTTACAGCAGGACAATCTTCCGTCTTCTTATAGCAGGAGGCAGCAGGACATCTAGAAATGGGCTCTGCAGCCAGCTGCCCGCCCTGGCCCACTCCTGGGCACATGGCCTTGTCCGGGCTCCTTAGCCCCAGCTTCCTCATCTTTCTAGCTGTGATGATATTCCTCTCCCACAGGGTCCTGGGAAGATCTCCTGAGACAGCAGATGGAAGCATTTAGCACCGTGCTGGGCTCGTCCTGGGCTCGCTTATGTGTGTACGGCTATTGTGGCTGACATCTAGCATTCTTCTCACTGGAGAACATGGACCAATATACTCGTCTTTCCAATCTGACAGTGGGTCCCTGGAGGCCAGGACCCCCTCCTGGGCTGGGGACCTCACAGACGCATGCTAAGTACCCCTCCTGCTGTTTTCTTTTCTTTTTTTTCCCCAGACAGAATCTCATTCTGTCTTGTCCAGGCTGGAGTGCAATGGAGCAATCTCAGCTCACTACAACCTCCACCTCCCAGGTTCAAGTGATTCTCCTCCCTCAGCCTCCCAAGTAGCTGGGATTACAGGTGCCCGCCATCACGCCTGGCTAATTTTTGTTTTTTTAGTAGACACAGGGTTTCACCACGTTGACCAGGCTGGTTTCGAACTCCTGACCTCAGGTGATCCCCCCGCCCTGGCCTCCCGAAGTGCTGGGATTACAGGCACGCACGACCACCCCTGGCTAATTTTTATATTTCTAGTAGAGACGGGGTTTCGCCATGTTGGCCAGGCGAGTCTCAAACTCCCGACCTCCTAATCCGCCCGCCTCGGCCTCCCAAAGTGCTGGGATTACAGGCGTGGGCCCCACACCCAGCTAATTCTTGTATTTTTAGTAGAAACAGGGTTTCGCCATGTTGGCCAGGCGGGTCTTGAACTCCCGACCTTGTAATCCGCCCGCCTCGGCCTCCCAAAGTGCTGGGATTATGGGCGCGTGCCACCACGCCTGGCTAATTTTTGTATTTTTAGTAGGAAAGGGGTTTTGCCATGTTGGCCAGGCTGGTCTCGAACTCCTGACCTCGTGATCAGCCCACCTCGGCCTCCTGCTCTTTCCCGCACGTGCTCCTCTCCTTCCTCCCAGGGGCACCAGGCACAAGTGTCCCCTGCCCAGAGGACTCCAAGACAAAGGACGCTCACCTTATGCCATAAAGCAGCACCTCAGCTGCTTCTCCAGGCCATTAGCCATGCCACGGCCCTCTGTCCGGGCTGGGGGATTCGTTGACAAAGGCCTGAGACGTGGGGACATGGCACAGAGGAGGGAACATGGCCTTTCCCACATACCATACGCAGAGATGCCTTGGCCAAGGTACTTAACCTCAGTACCCCAGTGTCCTCATCTGTAAGATGGGGAGGAGGGACTGTCATTCTCCCTGGAGGATCACGACAAGGATCACACGAGGAGATGGCATTTGGGAAGCGGCCTCCAGGAGCACAAGTGCTGGACACACATTGGTGACGCATGCTGCCGTCTGTCTGTCACTAAATGCTTCCCCCACCCCACCCCGCCGCTGAGACTCCTGCCCCACTGCCCCATCAGGCGACCCAGAGTGGGGGCCTCATCACAGCAGCAAATGCCTGCGCTTAGGCCGTAGGGCCCCTTGCTTTCTCTGGATGGGCTGCTGGGAGGGGGCTTAGAGAGAAGTGGGGGCCTCAGAGACTGCCCTCCTCCTCCTGCCTTTCCTACAGGCCCCCTGAATATCCCCGAGGGCTGGGCCCTATCTCAAAGCCACCTCCGACTATGTCCTCAGCGCCTGCTGGCGGGCAGAAAGACTGCATTCCAGAGGCTAGTGCCAGCTCCCTTCCTTAGATGTGTGGCCGGAGTGAAGGCAGAGACAAGCTGTGGGGACAGACCGTTCCGTGGCTCCGTGGGGCCCGGGTTCGTGGGAACAGCTCCGTGTGGACTCGTCACCCAGCCTGGCCATCCACGGTGGCTCTGAGGGCAGTCACGGGGCGAGACTTTCTAAGCCACAGCCCGCCCCTGGGGCATGCCTCCCCCACCAAAGGCAGGCTGGTGAGATGGTTCTGCAGCGGAGGGCCAGGGCCGGGCCTTGGCATGCTGAGTGCTGGGGGACTTCAAAGGCCTGCAGGGGACTCTGGCTCTGAACTGTCCGCTCACAGGCCCAGGTCAGCTGGCAGCAGGAAGGTTTATGTTTCTTTTAATATCAACTCCCAGGCATTTAACATTCCTCGAAGCTTAAACACAGAAACATTTTCCTTACCAGACTCTGCCTTCTGCTTTGCCAAACATAACCTGGCTTCCTCCCTCCCCCACTGCCTCCATCTGCTCCTGTCTCCAAGAGGCTTGCAGTGACTGATGGTGTGTTTCCCCCGGGGCTTGTGCAGCTGAGTGAGAAGGAGGGAAGCAATGGGGCTGAAGTCCAGGTGGGGGAATGTGCCCTCGGGCCTTGGGAGCTGAGTTCTCGAGGGGCTGGGGCCCACCGTGCCCACGGGGCTGGCTGCCCGGCACATCCTTGTAACTCTTCTATTCCACAGCCACCAGTGGCCCAGGGAGTGTGGCGTGGCGACCACTCGTCTCTTGCCTGGGCGTCTCCTGGGGCTGCACAGGCCAGCCCAGAACCCTTCCGTGCCTGTCCCTCTAGCCCAGCCCAGGGACAGGGAGATGGGGCTCCCTCCCCTTATCCCCACAGAGAGCAGGTCCCAGGGACTGAATCTCTAGAGCCCATTTCCTAAATCACGAAGGACTGGCTGGCAGTTGCCTGGCAGCCCTGTCTCCCTAGTGACGAGTACTGAGAAGCAGGGTGCAGACCCCACAGCATCGGAAAGAGACGTGTTTAGGAACACGGGGCGTATGCGGCAGAGGCCAGGCCCCTCCACGTGGGGCCCCTGGTTCAAACACTGGAGCCTGAGATGGGGCAGCGAGTGGGAGACCCACACAGCTCCCCAGGGGCAATGCTACCAAGGACCTGCAGGTAAGAGCCAGATACCAAACTCGGTGGCCATGACAATGCATCAGAGAACAAATGCTTCCTGCTAAAAAGCATCGTTCAGCTCCCTGTTGTAGACGGAGCCATCGCAGCCTGCGCCTGGATCACCTCTTGGGCCACGGTCAAGAAGCTCGGCGCCCAGCTGCGCCTGGATCACGTCCGGGGCCACGGTCAAGAAGCTCGGCGCCCAGCTGCGCCTGGATCACGTCCGGGGCCACGGTCAAGAAGCTCGGCGCCCAGCTGCCGCCTGGATCACCTCCGGGGCCACGGTCAAGAAGCTCGGCGCCCAGCTGCGCCTGGATCACGTCCGGGGCCACGGTCAAGAAGCTCGGCGCCCAGCTGCGCCTGGATCACGTCCGGGGCCACGGTCAAGAAGCTCGGCGCCCAGCTGTGCCTGGATCACGTCTGCGGCCACTGTCAAGAAGCTCAGCACGCCCAACGCCCGAGGCTCAACCTCAGTACGGGTCAGTTACCGTCTCCCTTCATTTCATGGTCACAGAATCTACCCCCAAACCAGACCACTTGCGGCACAGCACGAGGCCACACGAGGTACCAGACGGGAGTGTGAGCGGCTCCACCACGTCACGCCTTTTCCCGCTCCCAAGCCTACTTCTCTTAATAGGTTGGTGAATAGCAGCCATCTTCAAAATTGGCAGAATGTTTCAGAGACACAGGCTGCACACACAGAGGCCTTTTCCCTATATATGTTTATAGGGAGCCAAAAGCACAGTTGAGGCATAAATGCTGTTTTTATTTATTTTTATTTTTTTGGAGACACGGTCTGACTCCATCACCCAGGCGCGATCTCAGCTCACTGCAACCTCTACCTCCTGGGTTCAAGCGATTCTCCTGCCTCAGCCTACTGAGTAGCTGGGATTACAGGCGCCCGCCACCACGACCTGCTAATTTTTGTATTTTTAGTAGAGATGGGGTTTCGCCATGTTGGCCAGGCTGGTCTCGAACTCCTGACCTCGTGATCCACCCACCTCGGCCTCCCAAGGTGCTGGGATTACAGGCGTGAGCCACCGCACCCAGAAGCATAAATACCCTTAACCCGAGGTGCAGCCTCTACTAACACCCAGAGTCCCCACCCGAAGCCACAGACTCCCAACGCAGCTGAGTAAGGTCCGGCCACCCTAACAACAAGTCAGAGACCCCCCTCCCCCCAAGCCAACCAGCAGGACCCTAAGTCTTTCGGGCAGAAGAGCAAACGCCTGGTCCGTGTGCCTAACTCCGGTCCCCCGTCAATGGCAGACACGGCTCCTCACACACAGCATTCCTCCCTCCCGTTCACCGACGCAGCCTCTGAGTCCTTCTCAACATGGCGTTCCGGGAAACAACCACCCATAGACTAAAGCTGGCGTGTGAAAACAAAGCTGGTTGTTTCCATCTTGCAGAAGCGCAGATGACCCACCTGAGGAGCCACGCACACGCCTGGGCTTCCGGGGCCACAACAGGCAGCCACCTCTAGCAGGGAGGGGAGAACCACCTCCTGGGAACTTTCCTCCAACCAGCTTGGAACCAAAATCACGAAAGAGCAGGCTCCTTGACCAGAATTCCTTTTCAACTGGAACCACCTCCTGGAGGCTCCCTCAGCCTCGCCCCGGCGCCCTGGCCTCACCTGGATCTGTCCTTTGCCCATGATCTTGTCCACGATCTCATTGTTGTCCTTGTTGACCTTGGTCTTGTCATAGCACTTCTCATAGCACAGGATCCTCAGGGACTGGGAGCCCTCCAGCTCGATCTCAAACTCCTGGGGAAAGATGGGACAAAGGGCCCTGAACCTCCGAAGCTGGGAGGCCTGGCTTTCCGGCAGGTGCGTGCCTCAGCTTTGCAAGGAGGAGGGAGTAAGCACGGCCCACGAAGGACACGTCAGATTTTCTGGAGCTCCCAGAGGCCTCCCATCACCCCTGGAGTCTGGGGGCCTGAGCTGACACCACAGGGTCTGACACCCAGACACACACCGCGATCAGAAGCCAGAGGAGCAGGGAGCAGAAAGGGGGGTGCAGACATAGCTGGTCCAACCAATGGGCTGGCCGTCCCCAGCAGACAAGCCACGAGCACGGGGTGGTGGGGTCCCCACAGAGATGCCAGCCCCTGCCACTCACCTCATCCCACTTGGGCTCCGCTGTGTCCCGGAACACCCTGGTTTTGGCTTTGCTGACAAAATAGCCGAAGGAATCCACCTCCAGGGTACAGTACAGGTCTGTGGGGGAAGGACAGACGGAGATACTGAGTGAGTGGGGCCAGGGTGGGGCAGCTGGGGCGGCACTCAGGATGGAGGGGGACATCGCATCTGTCCTTTCCAACGTCCCCACGGATGGCATCTTGGCTCTCTCCTCCCTGAAGCCCGGGACCATCTGGCTTCTCCCCTGCCCCCTTCTTAGGGGCTCAGCCCTCCCCACCTCGGCTCACCCCACACTCTGCCCTTCCTACCTCAGCCCTCCCCACACTCTGCCCTTCCCACCTCGGCCCTCCCCACACTCTGCCCTTCCCACCTCGGCCCTCCCCACACTCTGGCCTCCTCCTCCCTCTAAAGGGCCCTTGACTGTTCCGTCTCCACATCTTCCTCACCATGGAGACGACACCACAAACTCTTCACTGACCGCCCTGGAGCCACCTCTCCCCGTAACATGGGTGCCCAGGCCTCAACAGCGGCATTTGGGGTGGGAGGCGTTTAGCAGCCCTGCCTCTGGGTCCTGAATGCTCGGAGCATCCCCTGCCGCGGTGACGACCAACAACGCCCACATCCCCAAGCCCAGGGTGCTGTGGTTTCCTCCGCTGCACTTAACATAAACCAAAGGGATCTTCTCTACTCGTGCGTCCCTAGTCTCTCTCCCCCCACGACGTAAACACCATGTGGAGAGAAGCCTGGGTTTTCCTGCCTGCCGGTGTACCCGCAGTACCAAGAACAGGGCTGGGAACCCAGCTGGCACACGGTGAACGAGGCTCCCACCACCACCAAGCGCTCCAGGTAACAAGGCAGTGGAGGGCTGGGGCGGGAGGGCAGGGCCGGGGGCTTTCCCCGGCATTTCCATCTTCCACCCTGGCCTTCAGGCTGAAAATCTACCTTGGGACCCAACTGCTGAGGCCACAGCACCGGCACGGACCCCAGGCCCTCTGCAAACCCACACCCGCCCTGGGCTCGGACCCCAGCAGTCCTCCCACCTCCAGGGAGATGCCGAGGTTGTTCCCAGGGTACCAGAGGTGGTGTGGGAGGTGCCTTTGGGACACTATGGCCAACCCTCTGCAGCGTGAAACAACGTCAGAGGTCACAGTGCGGGCATACAGTGCAGGTGGCTTACTCCACTTAGCCCCTGCAGCTGCCCAGCTGGGCCATTCTCCATCAGAACAGCTTTCCTGGCCGGGCAAGGTGGCTCACGCCTGTAAATCCCAGCACTTTGGGAGGCCAAGGTGGGCAGATCACCTGAGGTCAGGAGTTTGAGACCAGCCTGACCAACATGGTGAAACCCCATCTCTACTAAAAATACAAAAGTGAGCCCGGCGTGGTGGCACATGCCTGTAGTCCCAGCTACTCGGGAGGCTGAGGCAGGACAATCGCTTGAACCTGGGGTGTGGAAGTTGCAGTGAGCTGAGATGGCACCACTGCACTCCAGCCTGGGCGACCAAGTGACTCTTTCTCAAAAAAAAAAAAACCAAAAAAACCAGCTTTCCTGCAGAAAGGACAGTGCAGCTACCCCAAGAAGCCTCCAGCTGGAGCAACAGAAAGAAGACCCAGGTGGGCCTCAGAACACACAGAACGGGGCTGGGGATTTGCAGGTGAACAACACAGAGGCCCTGAGCACCCCAGCCTGGGCCAGACCAGGGAGTGGGCCTGTGTGTTTGAGACGGGCCATGAAGTGCTGTCATCATGGATTGATCTCGGTGTGAGCCCCTCCTCGAGGGGCTGGGGAGGGCTCACAGGGTCAGAGGGAGGGTTCCGGAAGGGGCTGGGGGAGGGCTCACAGGGTCAGAGGGAGGGTTCCGGAAGGGGCTGGGGGAGGGTTCACAGGGTCAGAGGGAGGGTTCCGGAAGGGGCTGGGGGAGGGCTCACAGGGTCAGAGGGAGGGTTCCGGAAGGGGCTGGGGGAGGGTTCACAGGGTCAGAGGGAGGGTGCCGGAAGGGGCTGGGGGAGGGGTCACAGGGTCAGAGGGAGGGTTCCGGAAGGGGCTGGGGGAGGGGTCACAGGGTCAGAGGGAGGGTTCCGGAAGGGGCTGGGGGAGGGGTCACAGGGTCAGAGGGAGGGTTCCGGAAGGGGCTGGGGGAGGGTTCACAGGGTCAGAGGGAGGGTTCCGGAAGGGGCTGGGGGACGGCTCACAGGGTCAGAGGGAGGGTTCCGGAAGGGGCTGGGGGAGGGTTCACAGGGTCAGAGGGAGGGTTCCGGAAGGGGCTGGGGGAGGGTTCACAGGGTCAGAGGGAGGGTTCCGGAAGGGGCTGGGGGAGGGGTCACAGGGTCAGAGGGAGGGTTCAGGAAGGGGCTGGGGGAGGGCTCACAGGGTCAGAGGGAGGGTTCCGGAAGGGGCTGGGGGAGGGGTCACAGGGTCAGAGCGAGGGTTCCGGAAGGGGCTGGGGGAGGGCTCACAGGGTCAGAGGGAGGGTTCCGGAAGGGGCTGGGGGAGGGTTCACAGGGTCAGAGGGAGGGTTCCGGAAGGGGCTGGGGGAGGGGTCACAGGGTCAGAGGGAGGGTTCCGGAAGGGGCTGGGGGAGGGGTCACAGGGTCAGAGGGAGGGTTCCGGAAGGGGCTGGGGGAGGGGTCACAGGGTCAGAGGGAGGGTTCCGGAAGGGGCTGGGGGAGGGCTCACAGGGTCAGAGGGAGGGTTCCGGAAGGGGCTGGGGGAGGGTTCACAGGGTCAGAGGGAGGGTTCCGGAAGGGGCTGGGGGAGGGTTCACAGGGTCAGAGGGAGGGTTCGAGAAGGGGCTGGGGGAGGGCTCACAGGGTCAGAGGGAGGGTTCCGGAACGGGCTGGGGGAGGGTTCACAGGGTCAGAGGGAGGGTTCCGGAAGGAGCTGGGGACGGCTCACAGGGTCAGAGCGAGGGTTCCGGAGTCAGACCATCTGGGTCCACACCCCAGCTCTGCACAGATCACCTCCCTTCTCTCCCCAGGTTCCTGTCTGCACAGCAGGAAAAGTCATGGTGCCTACACCCTGGGCCTGCCTGTCCAGAGGTCCTGAGTTTACCACGGCTGAAGACACAGGGCCTCACCTCTGAGTGAGAACAGACATATGAGTGGGTCAGGGGTGGCGGCGGCGAAGGGAGTGAGGATAATCTGGGGGTAAAGAGAGATTTTGGAGCAGCTCAGCCGGCTCTGACACCCGCCCAGGCTGGGAGGCCACGGGTCGGCTCCCTGAGGCGAGGACCTCCCGGCCAACGGGAAGCAGGAGAGGGAGGGGCGGCATCTGGGGACATGGAGTGGTGGCGCCTGGTCCAGACATGGGTGGGACAGTGCTTCAGAGCTCACTAGCCAGAAGCTCCTCAGCGGCAGCCCCCAAGAAGGGAGGTCTGTGGGTCTGGAGAGAGTTCAGGAAGCTTCCACGGTAACAAGCAGCCTGAGGGACCGTGTGGTGTTCCCGGCCAGACATCGAGAAGTGCCCAAAAGGTTAGAGCTCCGGCTCTGGTGCCGGAAGACGTGGATTCTGCTGCACCACCTGCTACTGTGTGACTCCAGGAAGGAACCTTGAGCCCCTCCGAGCCTCGGCGTCCTCGTGTGTAAAACAGGGATGGTTTCCGTGACCTCGGCGGGATGCCGGAGGCTCAGAGCGGACCGTGAGACTGAGAGGCTCTGAACACGCCACAGGCTTTGCACATGTGAGTACGTCCACACGCCAGCCATGTTCTCACCTTCTCCAGGTGCACGGTAGGTGCTGTGTAAATTAACGACTTCATTCCACATTTCTGAGCTCCCATGCATCCCAGGGTAAAGGAGACCTGGTTCCCGCCCTCAGAGAACTCACAGTGGGAGACGCAAATTGTTAAGTGACAAAACAGCATGACAGGTGCCATAACCAGCTTGCCCTGAGCAGGATGGGGGCACAAGGAACCTCAGGGGATGGGGGCACAAGGAACCTCAAAGGGATGGGGATACAAGGAACCTCAGGGGATGGGGGCACAAAGAACCTGAGGGGACGGGGGCACAAAGAACCTGAGGGGATGGGGGCACAAGGAACCTGAGGGGATGGGGGCACAAGGAACCTCAGGGGATGTGGGCACAAGGAACCTCAGGGGATGGGGGCACAAGGAACCTGAGGGGATGGGGGCACAAGGAACCTCAGGGGATGGGGGCACAAGGAACCTGAGGGGATGGGGGCACAAGGAACCTGAGGGGATGTGGGCACAAAGAAGGGACAAAGAAGGGAGGCCAGTTTGCCCCCAGGAACTCAGGGAGGCTTCCTGGGAAAGGCTGCTCTAACGGCCCGGGGAGTCACCTCTGTGTGGGGCGCTGCAGGGAGGGGTGAGGGCAGACCCCACCTGCCAGTGAAGAGCAGGGAGTGGGAGGGGCAGGTGGAGAGGGAGAGAGTCAGGGTTTCTGATCCTCTGTGATGTTAAGTCTTTTCTCCTCTCTGTGACTCGGTTACCTCCTCTGGCAAATGGGTAGAAACTATTAGCTGTCTAACTGACTCACAGATTCCCGTGTGGATAACAGGTAGATAAAAAGCGCAACCAGGCCGGGCGCAGCAGCTCACGCCTGTAATCTCAGCACTTTGGGAGGCTGAGGTGGGAGGATGGCTTGAGCCCAGGAGTTCAAGACCAGCCTGGCCAACATGGGGAGAACCTGTCTCTAAAAAAAAATTTTTTAAAAATTAAAAAGTGCAATCCTACTTTGTGAGACACTAAAAACAGATTTAGTATGAGGAACCCACAAGGGGGAAGGGGAGAAAAAGCGATGAGCGTGGCAGCACACCAGCGTTGCACACACACGATCATATCCCAGCCTGCTCTCGGGTCAAAATTCACAAGCGTGACTGCCTTTTAGTGGAGGCCCAGAGAGGTTAAGAAACTTGCCCAAGGTCACACAGCTTGTCATGGGCAGATATGAAGTTGGAGTCCACGTGTTTGTCGCCCTCAGATATGAAGTTGGAGTCCACGTGTTTGTCGCACTCGGTTTCTTTTTTTTTTTTTTGAGACGGATTCTCGCTCTGTCGCCCAGGGTGGAGTGCAATGCCATGATCTCAGCTCACAGCAACCTCCGCCTCCCGGGTTCAAGGGATTCTCTGGCCTCAGCCTCCCAAGTAGCTGGGACTACAGGCGTCCACCGCCATGCCCACGCTAATTTTAGTATTTTTAGTAGAGACGGGGTTTCACCATGTTGGCCCGGATGGTCTCGAACTCCTGACCTCGTGATCCGCCCGCCTGGGCCTCCCAAAGTGCTGGGATTACAGGGGTGAGCCACCGCGCCCGGCCCCTAGGTTTCAGACAGCTTCAGGGAGGGCTTGAGAAAGAGGACTTTGGAGACAAAGGCCAGGGGTGACCTCCCTGCCAAGAGGAGCTGGTTTCTGGCCTCCAGGGGAATGCCCCATGTCTAAAGGCGTGCTGGCAGGGCCCCATCCTGGGCAGAGCAGTGCAGAATCCACAATGGCCCACCCAACCTCGTCCTGGCCAGGGCACTTACTGGCTGATTGCTTAAATCCCTTGGCAGAGTGGACGATGACATGAAGGAAGCCATAGAGTCCTGGAGACTCATCGTCTGCAAGAGAGAAAAGCCCCCAGGGCAGAGGGTGGTCAGCGGATCCCCTCAGCCTCCACCCCAGGCCGGCGGGAGGCAGACGGGGTATGAGACTCAGCTGAGTCTTGGTCCAACATCACCACCTGGTGGCCAGATGAAAAAGTTTCCGAAGGCCACGGCGGCCTTATATGTGAGCTGCCCGGGGTAGGGCTAGGGGGTCCTTCTCTCCTCCACTCAGCCTGGGGGGGTCCAGCACACCCACCATCCTGGCCCAGGGACTTAGTACCATTCCCCATGGGTACTGTCTCTCCCTCCAAATCCTGCCTATCCTGGCACTGAAAACTGACCAATATGATAAATCATTCTGCTAATGATTTATGTCGAGGAAAGCTTGCCTTCAGGACCCCGTTCACAAAGTGGACCCTTTCCCAGCACACAGGCAGCTAGAATACACCCACTCCGGTCAGTTCCCAGCCCTGATCACAGCTCCCCACTGCTCAAAACCCCCCCAGACTCCCGGGCTTACAGCATGAATTCCAAACTCCCTTGCTTGGGATTCAAGGCCTTTCAAGAGCTGGTCCCTGGAAACTTCCAGCCTCATTTCCCATACACCATTTTATCTACCGGGTCTGCTCTCTCATGAATATATTAACAGCACAATCTCAGTGCACCAGGGTGCCAGTTCTCCCAAGCCAGACAGAGGGGCCCAAGGAAAAGCTGGGGTCATCTGGGAACTCAGTAGACAGTCACCCCTACCCAAGCTGTGTCCTGGCCACTCAACAGTCTCAGCACAGCCGAGCAGGGATCAGCCATTTACAGCCACATGTCTGTCTGAGTCCTTACGGGAAGCCGGCCACGCTCTGAGGGCTGGGACCTGCCGGTTGGGCCACCTCTGGTTCCCGAGCTTACCGTCTTTATTGCTGGTGACAGGAATGTTGTGTACAGTCCTAAGCTTGAAACAGGATCCTGTGAGCACCTGGAGCTCCACTGAGCTCAGGACAAAGGCCTGGAGATCTGGAGGGAGAGCCGAGAGAGAAGGGAGCGTGGGCACTGGTCCACCAGGACCGGCTGCTCTTCCCTGGGGGCTGCTGCAGGAAGACGGCTTAATCCCTGGGGCAGACTTGGTCCTTGCGAGGGAGGGGGAAGGATTTGTGGACACAGCAGGACTGGTGTAGATGCTGCGAGAGGGGTCAGAGTAGGAGAATCTAACTGAAGAGGTTTGTGTGTGTGTGTGTGTGTGTGTGTGTGTGTGTGTGTGTGTGTGTGTGTGTGTGTGTGGTGTATGCGTTTTGTTTTCGTTTTTTTTTTAAACGGAGTCTCACTCTGTCGCCCAGGCTGGAGTGCAGTGCTGTGATCTCAGCTCACTGCAACCTCCGCCTCTCAGGTTCAAGGGATTCTCCTGCTTCAGCCTCCTGAGTAGCTGGGATTACAGGTGCCCACCACCACACCTGGCTAATTTTTGTGTTTTTAGTAGAGACGGGGTTTCACCACGTTGCCCAGGCTGATCTCAAACTCCTGACTGGGATTACAGGCGTAAGCCACCGTACCCAGCCTCTGTGTATGTGTGTATGTGTGTGTGTGTGTGTGTGTGTGTGTCTCTGTGTGTGTGTGTGTGAGAGAGAGAGAGAGGTAGAGAGAGAGAGAAAGCCCAGGCTGGGCTCTGGGTCCAGTCCCAGGACTAAATCATCATGTCTTTCAGCCAATCAGTTAGATTCTTTGGGTCTCAATTAATCCGTAACATCCTTAAACGCTCACCCTGGCACCTCTGAGGGTGACTGCGAGGGCCAAAGACGTGATACTGGACATGAAACGCTTAGAAATACAAAAGGCCCATCAATGCCACGGACATCATTGGGGAGCGTGGAAGAGGCAGGAATTTACCCTTCTTCTGTAGTTTCTGAATTGCTTCTCTCCACTCTGACCTCTCGTAGTCCGAGGACAGTAGGAACAGGTAACTCTGAAGAGAGGAGATAAGCATAAAGTGGGTGACCACAGTCAGGCAAAGCGTACTCCCAGATCCTGGGGACCCCAACAAAGCTCCTTTTATCTTTTTTTTTTTTTTTTTTTTGAGACAGAGTCTCGCTCTTGTTGCCCAGGCTCTAGTGCAATGGCAAAATCTCGGCTCACTGCAACCTCCACCTCCCGGGTTCACGCCAATCTCCTGCCTCAGCCTCCTGAGTAGCTGGGATTACAGGTGCCCACCACCACGCCCGGCTAATTTTTGTGTTTTTAGTAGAGACAGAGTTTTGCCATGTTGGCCAGGCTGGTCTCAAACTCTTGACCTCAGGTGATTCGCCTGCCTCAGCCTCCCAAAGTGCTGGGATGACAGGCATGAGCCACTGTGCCCGGCCCAAAGCTCCTCCTTATCCAGGCACAGCTGACCTTGCAGGAGGAGGCAGCTGGGGGTGGGTGGGTGAAGGGGGAGCTCCTTCCTGGGAAGCCAAGGTGACAGGAGCGGCTGTGCCAGGGACGGCCAGCAGAGGGCACTCATTCCACACGAGAGGGGAGAGCGAGTCAACAGCTGGAGCCATGGCAGCCTCCTCAGGAAGAGGGGGCCTGAGTTTCCGGTTCGTACAGGTCAGGGCCAGGAGCCACAGAGTGGGCTGCTCTGGACTAAGGAAGGGGCTGTCTTGGTCCCACCCCCACCCATCCTGACCTTTCCATTCCGATTGTGGATCCTGAACGGGATTGTGGGGGAGTTGAGCAGCAGCAGGAACTCATTCTCAAACATCTTCTTCTTCAGGCGCTCGATGGCCCGGCTCTGGCCTTTGTTGGCTTTCTGCAGGAGATGGGGACACAGAGGGTTCCCCTCACACTCGGGCCTTTCTCACGAGCAGCACTAAGCACGACACTCCACTGTGTGTTAACATGCTCTTTACATTTTCCGTATTTCGTGATGTTTTGACATCTTGTGGCAGGAGAGGCGGGTAGCTGGGTGAGAAACTGCTCCCCCACAGGGCTCACTAATTCCTAAGCCTGTCAGTGATGCCCTATGAGCACAGCTTTCATACACACACCCACTGATCCAGAGCCCATGTCCCCAACCACCTTCTCTACCTGACGCTCACTCGCCAAGCCAGCATCTCCTCTGCCCCACGTCACCCAGGGCCAGGGACCAGGTCACCAGAGACCACTCCTCTAGCCCAGGGCTGCCGACATAACGGAAGCCAGCTGGTGCCAAGCCCTTTCCCTGCCCTGTTTCTCCACAGAAAAGCTGTGGCCACACTTTCTTTCCATTCCTGCCTCCTGTTCAAAGCTGGCACCTCTCCACGTGGCCCTGGGCGGGGTGCTATGCCTCCTTCTCTTGAGAACCCTAAATAATACAAATATTACAGTAGTATTAACCTCTCTGTACTGTCACTCTGCTGCCTCTACACATTAAATCCTGGGTACAACAGAGACACCTGCTTAAAGAAACCTCAGACACCTTTCAGCCTGAAGCCCCACCTGCTAGCCTGGCACCAAGGCCCCCATGGCAGGGTTCCAGCCTCCCTGCCCGGCAGACAACCCACCAGGTCCCGTCGGCTCAGCCTCCCCCTCTCACCAGACATTCATCCTCTGCGGGCAGAGCCTGCTCCCTCAATGTTCCAAGTTTCTGTCTGTTTCGTAAAGGACCCCCTCCCTTTTATTAACCACCATTATGCTTCAAGTCTCAGCTCCCAAGGCCATCCTCAAGCTCCTCAGTTAGAATTCACCTCTATGGTGTTTTGTTCTTTTTAACCCACTGGACTGGCAAAATTGTAAAGAATGTTCACAGCCAGTGTTGTGACACTGTGGGGGACAGTCACCCTCACACACCGCAGGGGGAATGCCACCAGTCACAGCTTTTTCAGAGGTAAAAGCCTGTCAATTAAGCGCACACTCACCCTGCCCTGCCCATCCCACCTGGAGGGAACCTACTGCAGAGGCACCTGCGCAGTGATGTTTACTGTTGACTTGCCTGCTAAGAGCGAAGAATCAGAGACAATCCAAACACCCAAAAACATTTGTATGCAGCCAAGCGACAGAGCAGGAGGCAGTTGTTAAAAAGAATCTGATACTGCCAGGCGCGGTGGCTCACGCCTGTAATCCCAGCACTTTGGGAGGCCGAGGTGGGCGGATCGTTTGAGGTCAGGAGTTCGAGACCACCCTGGCCAACGTGGTGAAACTCCGTCTCTACTAAAAATGCAAAAACTACCGGGCGTGGTGGCGGGCGCCTGTAATCCCAGCTACTCGGGAGGCTGAGGCACGAGAATCGCTTGAACCCGGGAGGTGGAAGTTCCAGTGAGCCCAAATCTCACCAGTGCACTCCAGCCTGGGTGACAGAGCGAGACTCTACCTCAAAAAGAAAGAAAAAGAATCTGATACATCCAAAGGGCTCAAAGACCCACTGTGGAGTAAAATGCTGAAGTTGCAAAACAGCACGTGTAGTCTAGTCTCATTGGACACGCGGGCGCACACCAGCATAAGCAAAGAAGAGTTCAGAAGAATACACCTCAAACTGTCAGCAGTGGGAGGTGAGTGGCGACCAGCTTTACCCTGTACATGCTGGTACTACGAGCATTTCTCATTAAAACCAGCCAGTATTATATTGGGGATTAGAAAAAACATGAAAATTTAAAAAATTATTATCAAGAGAACAAGGCTGAGCACGGTGGCTCACACCTGTCATCCCAGCACTTTGGGAGGCCGGGGCGGGTGGATCATGAGGTCAGGAGTTTGAGACCAGCCTGGCTAACACGGTGAAACCCCGTCTCTACTAAAAATACAAAAAATTAGCCAGGCGTGGTGGCGGACGCCTTTATTCCCAGCTACTCAGGAGGCTGAGGTAGAAGAATTGCTTGAACCCGGGAGGTGGAGGTTGCAGTGAGCCGAGATTGTGCCACTGCACTCCAGCCTGGGCGACAGTGACAAAGTGAGACTCCATCTCAAAAAAAAACAAAAAACAAAAAACAAATCACTGCTTCTTCTGTGACTCAGAGGACGGCACCTGTGCCTCTCCAGTGACTCACATGTACCACACTCTGTGGTCAGCAAGGGGCGTGTCTGCTTCCTCCACTGGACAGGGATATACATGAGGCACCCGGCACACCCCAGGCAGCACAGCCAGTGGGGCTCACTGAGTGTTGACTGTTGACTCGACTGGGCACAAGGCCACGTCTGCACAGCTGGGGCAACGGGGAGGCAGCAAGCCTCCCAGGGGCGGGTGGGAAACAGGCACGCAGGATGCTCCTGGGCGGGCACTGTGGGCAGGGCCCAGCCGTTCAGGAGGGGGACAGCTGTGCTGGCGAGGAAGCCCTCTGGGCAGATGTACCACCAGTTGGACCCTCTGTCCTAGGACATCCCCCAGCCCTGAACACTCCTGGGGCTGTAATGGTGATCTTGCTTTCCCCTGTTCAAAGGGAGATGCTTGAGTTGAAAGGATCCTCAGAGAGGCCATCTGGTTATGTTTTCTTCAATAATTGTTTGTTTACTAAGTGCCTTTTTTTTTTTGAGATGGAGTCCCACTCACTCTGTTGCCCAGGCTGGAGTGCAGTGGCGTGATCTCGGCTCACTGCAACCTCCACCTCCCGGGTTCACACAATTCTTTTGCCTCAGCCTCCCATGTGGCTGGGATTACAGGCACCCACCACCACACCCGGCTAACTTTTGTATTTTTCATAGAGACGGGGCTTCATGATGTTGGCCAGGCTGGTCTTGAACTCCTGGCCTCAAGTGACCCACCCGTCTCAGCCTCCCAAAGTACTGGGATTACCGGTGTAAACCACCATGCTGGGCCCTAACCACCTGTTTTCTACGTGTCGAATATGAGGAACATGGAACAGAAGAAAATAGCGCTGTCCCTGGAGTTCAAATTCCAGTGGGGAAGAGAGGAGTCTGACAATGCAATTACAATTCAGTACCATTTAAGCAAAGCCACAGGTGAACAAAAAGCCACAGGATCTGGGGACAGGGCACCCAACCAAGACTGTGGTGGGCGTGGGTGTCAGAGAAGCTTCCCAGGGGTGGTGAGGCCTAAGCTGAACCTGAGAGGTGAGGAAAACAGACCAAGCTGACCAAACCGCTCCAGGCCCTTCCTCCACTCACAGGGATGCTCCTCCCGTGGTGCCTTCCTCTAGACACTGTTGTTACGTGAACTGAGGGCTATGCATGTTCCTCTAGACGCTGCTGTTATGTGAACTGAGGGCTATGCATGTTCCTCTAGACACTGTTGTTATGTGAACTGAGGGCTATGCATGTTCCTCCAGACACTGTTGTTATGTGAACTGAGGGCTATGCATGTTCCTCTAGACGCTGCTGTTATGTGAACTGAGGGCTATGCATGTTCCTCTAGACACTGTTGTTACGTGAACTGAGGGCTATGCATGTTCCTCTAGCACTGCTGTTACGTGAACTGAGGGCTATGCATGTTCCTCCAGACACTGTTGTTATGTGAACTGAGGGATATGCATGTTCCTCTAGACACTGTTGTTATGTGAACTGAGGGCTATGCATGTTCCTCTAGACACTGTTATGTGAACTGAGGGTTATGCATGTTCCTCTAGACACTGTTGTTATGTGAACTGAGGGCTATGCATGTTCCTCTAGACACTGTTGTTATGTGAACTGAGGGCTATACATGTTCCTCTAGACACTGCTATTATGTGAACTGAGGGCTATGCATGTTCCTCTAGACACTGTTGTTACGTGAACTGAGGGCTATGCATGTTCCTCTAGACGCTGTTGTTATGTGAACTGAGGGCTATGCATGTTCCTCTAGACACTGTTGTTATGTGAACTGAGGGCTATGCATGTTCCTCTAGACACTGTTATGTGAACTGAGGGCTATGCATGTTCCTCTAGATGCTGTTGTTACGTGAACTGAGGGCTATGCATGTTCCTCTAGATGCTGCTGTTATGTGAACTGAGGGCTATGCATGTTCCTCTAGACACTGTTGTTATGTGAACTGAGGGCTATGCATGTTCCTCTAGACGCTGTTGTTATGTGAACTGAGGGCTATGCATGTTCCTCTAGACACTGCTGTTATGTGAACTGAGGGCTATGCATGTTCCTCTAGACACTGTTGTTATGTGAACTGAGGGCTATGCATGTTCCTCTAGCACTGCTGTTACGTGAACTGAGGGCTATGCATGTTCCTCTAGACACTGTTGTTACGTGAACTGAGGGCTATACATGTTCCTCTAGACACTGCTGTTACGTGAACTGAGGGCTATGCATGTTCCTCTAGACACTGCTGTTACGTGAACTGAGGGCTATGCATGTTCCTCTAGACACTGTTGTTACGTGAACTGAGGGCTATACATGTTCCTCTAGACACTGCTGTTACGTGAACTGAGGGCTATGCATGTTCCTCTAGACACTGTTGTTACGTGAACTGAGGGCTATGCATGTTCCTCTAGACGCTGTTGTTATGTGAACTGAGGGCTATGCATGTTCCTCTAGACACTGTTGTTATGTGAACTGAGGGCTATGCATGTTCCTCTAGACACTGTTATGTGAACTGAGGGCTATGCATGTTGCTCTAGACACTGTTGTTACGTGAACTGAGGGCTATGCATGTTCCTCTAGACGCTGCTGTTATGTGAACTGAGGGCTATGCATGTTCCTCTAGACACTGTTGTTATGTGAACTGAGGGCTATGCATGTTCCTCCAGACACTGTTGTTATGTGAACTGAGGGCTATGCATGTTCCTCTAGACACTGCTGTTATGTGAACTGAGGGCTATGCATGTTCCTCTAGACACTGTTGTTACGTGAACTGAGGGCTATGCATGTTCCTCTAGCACTGCTGTTACGTGAACTGAGGGCTATGCATGTTCCTCCAGACACTGTTGTTATGTGAACTGAGGGCTATGCATGTTCCTCTAGACACTGTTGTTATGTGAACTGAGGGCTATGCATGTTCCTCTAGACACTGTTATGTGAACTGAGGGTTATGCATGTTCCTCTAGACACTGTTGTTATGTGAACTGAGGGCTATGCATGTTCCTCTAGACACTGTTGTTACGTGAACTGAGGGCTATACATGTTCCTCTAGACACTGTTGTTATGTGAACTGAGGGCTATGCATGTTCCTCTAGACACTGTTATGTGAACTGAGGGCTATGCATGTTCCTCTAGACACTGTTGTTACGTGAACTGAGGGCTATGCATGTTCCTCTAGACGCTGCTGTTATGTAAACTGAGGGCTATGCATGTTCCTCCAGACACTGTTGTTATGTGAACTGAGGGCTATGCATGTTCCTCCAGACGCTGTTGTTATGTGAACTGAGGGCTATGCATGTTCCTCTAGACACTGCTGTTATGTGAACTGAGGGCTATGCATGTTCCTCTAGACACTGTTGTTATGTGAACTGAGGGCTATGCATGTTCCTCTAGCACTGCTGTTACGTGAACTGAGGGCTATGCATGTTCCTCTAGACACTGTTGTTATGTGAACTGAGGGCTATGCATGTTCCTCTAGACACTGTTGTTATGTGAACTGAGGGCTATGCATGTTCCTCTAGACACTGCTGTTATGTGAACTGAGGGCTATGTATGTTCCTCTAGACACTGTTGTTATGTGAACTGAGGGCTATGCATGTTCCTCTAGACACTGTTGTTACGTGAACTGAGGGCTATACATGTTCCTCTAGACACTGCTGTTACGTGAACTGAGGGCTATGCATGTTCCTCTAGACACTGTTGTTATGTGAACTGAGGGCTATGCATGTTCCTCTAGACACTGTTGTTATGTGAACTGAGGGCTATGCATGTTCCTCTAGACACTGTTGTTACATGAACTGAGGGCTATGCATGTTCCTCTAGACACTGTTGTTATGTGAACTGAGGGCTATGCATGTTCCTCTAGACACTGCTGTTATGTGAACTGAGGGCTATGCATGTTCCTCTAGACACTGCTGTTACGTGAACTGAGGGCTATGCATGTTCCTCTAGACACTGCTGTTACGTGAACTGAGGGCTATGCATGTTCCTCTAGACACTGTTGTTACGTGAACTGAGGGCTATGCATGTTCCTCTAGACGCTGCTGTTACGTGAACTGAGGGCTATGCATGTTCCTCTAGACGCTGCTGTTACGTGAACTGAGGGCTATGCATGTTCCTCTAGACGCTGTTGTTATGTGAACTGAGGGCTATGCATGTTCCTCTAGACACTGCTGTTACGTGAACTGAGGGCTATGCATGTTCCTCTAGACACTGCTGTTACGTGAACTGAGGGCTATGCATGTTCCTCTAGACACTGTTGTTACGTGAACTGAGGGCTATGCATGTTCCTCTAGATGCTGCTGTTACGTGAACTGAGGGCTATGCATGTTCCTCTAGACGCTGCTGTTACGTGAACTGAGGGCTATGCATGTTCCTCTAGACGCTGTTGTTATGTGAACTGAGGGCTATGCATGTTCCTCTAGACGCTGTTGTTATGTGAACTGAGGGCTATGCATGTTCCTCTAGACGCTGTTGTTATGTGAACTGAGGGCTATGCATGTTCCTCTAGACACTGTTGTTATGTGAACTGAGGGCTATTCATGTTCCTCTAAACAGCACTTTGGCTGCATCCATGGGTACTGGTATGTAGTACACTCATTTCCAGACAGCACTAAACAGTTTGCAGTTCTCATTTTGAATTTTGATTTCCTCTTTACCTTGTCAGTTTGAACTTTCCAAACCAATGCTTTTTTTTTTTTTTTTTTTTTTTGAGACAGTCTCACTCTGTTGCTCAGGCTGGAGTGCAGCAGCGGAATCTCAGCTCAATGCAACCTCTGCCTCCCAGGTTCAAGCAATTCTCCTGTCTCAGCCTCCTGAGTAGCTGGGATTACAGGCGGAAGCCACCACGCCAGGCTAATTTTGTATTTTCAGTAGAAATGGGGTTTCACCATGTTGGCCAGGCTGGTCTCAAACTCCTGACCTCAGGTGACCTGCCTGCCTGGGCCTCCTAAAGTGCTGGGATTACAGGCATGATCCACCACGCCTGGATAATTTTGTATTTTTAGTAGAGATGGATTTTTACCATGTTGGCCAGGCTGATCTTGAATTCCTGACCTCAGGCGATCCACCATCCTCAGCCTCCCAAAGTTCTGGGATTAAAGGTGTGAGCCACTGCACCCAGGCTGACCAATATTCTTGTTCACTTCTAATTTTACTCCACTGTGGTCTGTGAACATGACTTGTATGCTATCAACTTGCAGAAAAATTTTGAGATTTCCTTAGTGGCCTATTATAGGATAAATGTGAAGGTCCCAAACGTGTGTGACAAGAATCTCAGTTTTCTGTCAGGGCACAAGCTTCTCTGCATTTTTAAGTCAAGCATGTTAATTGTGGCATTCAGGTCCTCTCTCTCCTTATTTATTTGCCTACTTGATCTGTCAGTTTCTGAGAGGCCTCCCAGGTCCTTTTCCTTGCACAGGTCCTGCTTTTCCTTACAAAAGCCTGCTTTTTCTTCTCTTGCTTCCCTCTACCTCCACTTTTTTTTTTTGTTTTTGACAGAATCTCACTCTATTGCCTAGACTGGAGTGCATTGGCATGTTCTTGGCTCACTGCAACCTCCACCTCCCGGGTTCAAGCCATTCTACTGCCTCAGCCTCCCGAGTAGCTGGGATTACAGGTGCCCACCACCACACTCTGCTAATTTTTGTACTTTTAGTAGAGACAGGGTTTTGCCATGTTGGCCAGGCTGGTCTCGAACTCCTGGCCTCAGGTGATCCACCTGCCTCGGCCTTCCAAAGTGCTGGGATTACAGGTGTGAGCCACTGCGCCTGGCTACTTGCTTCCCCTTTCTATCGTGTTCAACATGCACTGCTTTCCAGGGCACTTCCCATGTTAGCCCTATGAAATCCTGAGCACTGACCCCCTCGATCTGCTTGGAGCTACTGTAGTCGGGGTCTTTCCCTTAGTAACTACACACTCAAGGCTCCCTCTCAAAGTCTCAAACCTTACAACTTCCTGCCTCCACCTCCCCCAACACAGCTGGCTCAAAGGGCCCCAGGCTCAGATACCAAGCTCTGCTCACCTCCTTCTGGATTTCACTCTTGAGGGCAGAGATCTTCATCTTCATGTCCTCCAGCTCATGGTCTGGGAAGGGGTGCACCTGGGGGCTGGCCTCAGACTCCTCGGGGGATGGAAACACCAGGTCGGCCAGGGGGATGTACCACTTACAGTCATACTGCTGGTGCTTCCTGCAAACGAGCCAGAGGGAGCCATGAGCCAGAGGGAGCCTGGCTCTTCCAGCCTCAACTCTTGGGTCCAGAACCACAGAACCACTGACAGGGGTTGACTGAGAACTCGCCAGAAGCAAGAACGATCCCTGCTCCTGAGGAGCCTGATTGGGAAACACACACTGGAGTGATGAAAGCTGGGTTCTGGGGTCCGCCCCGCCCGCAGGGAGCAACTCCGCCCCTTCACCTTACCAGGCTTCTGGCCCAGATGACTCATGTTGTCAAACATCCCAAACCACTTAGGTATCAAGAAGAGCGAAGCCTTCCTGGCTGGGCTCACATTTTCCTATTCCCCACCACAATCCCCTCCCTCCCTTCTAGACTATCCGTGTTCAATATCCTTCAGGCTAGCAATGGAATACAGGTGTTATTCCAAATGCCACCTCTTATCAAGAGTGGTCACATGGGTCAACACTGGGTGGAGGATTACAAAGCCACATCCAAGTCTAGCAAGAAAGTGTGCCCTAGTTGATTAGTGATGTCTGCCATGGCAAAGGACAGCAGGCAGAGGCATATGTGATTAGTAATGTCTGCCATCGCAAAGGACGACAGGCAGAAGCATGTGTGCTTATTATTGCCATCTCTGCCTCAGAACTATCTCAAACATGATCTAGTTCCAGGGAGTCATGTCCTTTATTATTATTATTTTTTAAATTATTTTTATTTTGTGAGATGGAGTTTTGCTCTTGTTCCCAGGCTGGAGTGCAATGGCGCGATCTCCACTCACTCCAACCTCTGCCTCCAGGGTTCAAGCGATTCTCCCACCTCATTCTCCCAAGTAGCTGGGATTATAGGTGCCTGCCATCACACCCAGCTAATTTTTGTACTTTCAGTAGAGACGGAGTTTTGCCATGTTGGCCAGGCTGGTCTCAAACTCCTGACCTCAGGTGATCCACCCGCCTTGGCCTCCCAAAGTGCTGGGATTACAGGCATAAGCCACCGTGCCCGCCCAGTCATCCCTTTATTGACGTTCATAATCATCGATCCTTCCCCTAGGACTTAGATTTGCACTTCTCATTCTGACCCTTGAGTGTTGAGGTGGGCGTGGGGCTTGCTCCCCCTGAGCTATACTTGGGGGCACAGCCAGCCAGGGAGGGCTGAAGGGAGAGGTAGGATAGCCTGGTGGTGTAACACACTGGCTGTGGAGTCCCCTGTGCTGTACTTGGGGGCACAGCCAACCAGGGAGGGCTGAAGGGAGAGGCAAGATAGCCTGATGGTAAACGAGTCCCACAGACACGGGTTTGAATCCAGACTGCCGCTTCTCAGCCGTGAGAAGGGGTGTGCTTGGCACACTGCAGTTGATCACTAAGTGTGGGTGGAAGAATGTGTGAATGAACGCAGAATGAGCCTCTGCTCAAGGCACAGAGCAGACCCACACTCCCGGGTAGAGAGAAGGAGGCTCAAAGGAGCTTGCACATCAGCTTGGGGTTCCAGTCCCACCCTCCCGGGTAGAGAGAAGGAGGCTCAAAGGAGTTTGCACGTCAGCTTGGGGTTCCAGTCCCACCTGTGCCTCTAGCTGTGCGAGCTTGGGCTGCTTATTTACCTTCTCCAAGACTCCTCTCTCATCTATGATTAGGGAACAACAGTCGCTACTTTGTGGAGGTGTTGGGAGGACTAGAAATCATGTATTCAAAGCATGTGTCACGGCACCTGGCATGGCATAAACCCTCAATAAATAGTAGCAGGAGACGTGGTGAATATTCACAGCACTGCAGTTAGCAGAAATTCAGAGATGTCTAATAAAAGGAGAATGCTTAAGTAGACGATGGCACATCTACGGGTAACATCGTGCAGGAAAGTAAAAGGATGATTATGAAGATGAGGCAGCAACAGGGAAAATGCTTATGACACGAAACAGAAACAGCAGAGCCCCAAATTGGGCATTCACAGTGATTACGACTGTGTGAAGAAACATGAGAACATTTAAAAACAGGGAAGGAAGCAGCGCGGCAGGAGTCGGACCTCATGCTTCAGTGGGGGACGGGGTTTCCTCCAATGGCCTTATATTATCTTTATAATTAAAAACATGACTTACTTTCAGGAAAAAAGGCTATGTAGTGAAATTAAGTTAATTAATATAGTTTTTAAAAGGAAAAAACCGGCCAGGCGCGGTGGCTCATGCCTGTAATCCCAGCACTTTGGGAGGCCGAGGCGGGCAGATCACCTGAGGTTGGGAGTTTGAGATCAGCCTGGCCAACATGGCAAAACCCCGTCTCTACTAAAAATACAAAAATTAGCCAGACATGGTGGCATGGTGGCGTGCACCTGTAATCCCAGCTACTCAGGAGGCTGAGGCAGGAAAATCGCTTGAACCCGGGAGGCAGAGGTTGCAGTGAGCCGAGATCGCACCACTGCACTCCAGCCTGGGCAACAGAGCAAGACCCTGTCTCAAAAGAAAAAAAACCAACAAAGTTGCTGAAGGCTCCATGGGTGGCAGGGTCCGGCCTCCCTCCCCCGCCCTGTGCCACTGGACTCACACACTCACCCCGCAGAGGTCAGGACCCCCTCCCCCGCCCCTGGACTCACACACTCACCTCGCAGAGGTCCGGACCCCCTCCCCCGCCCCTGGACTCGCACACTCACCCCGCAGAGGTCAGGACCCCCTCCCCCGCCCCGGACTCGCACACTCACCCCGCAGAGGTCCGGACCCCCTCCCCCGCCCCGTGCCCCTGGACTCACACACTCACCCTGCAGAGGTCTTCTTCAGCTTGGCACACAGTAGGACATCTGTAAAGAGGAAGACGTGCCGCAGCTTCCGGGAGCTCTCTGACACTTCCACCAGGAAGCCGTCCTTCACCAGCTGTCGCGTCTGAGGGAGATGGCAGACCCCCCAGCCTGCTCAGAGGGGAATGCGGCCGAGGGCAGAGCCTGCACACGGGGGCACGGCCAGCCAGGGAGGACTGGACCGAGAGGCGGCATAGCCTGTCATCCCTTAACCAAAGGTGGTTCAAGCACTGCCTTTGGAGTCACATGGGCATGGGTTTGAATGCCAACAGGCTTCTCAGCTGTGATCTCAGACAGGCTCCCTGACCTCTCTGAATCCCAGATTCACCTTCTGTTAAGTGCGGACAGTGAGGTCTGCCTCATAAGGTGACTCATCGAGATGGTGCATGTGAAACAGCACAGTGCCTGGCACATTAAGTGTGTGCAACGCACGGGGCTCTCCGCGGCTAACCCTGGAGCCCCCTGCCCGGGACGACCTGGTTTCTCCACCCTGGGGCACGAACATCCCCGTTTGCAATCCCTCCCGACCGCGGCGGCGAACTTCATCTAGCCCCGGCTCAACCGAGACCCGAGACCCGAGACCCACTCAGGCCTGTCTGTGCTACTCCTCCCTGGCTTCTCCAGCCCCCTGGGGATGAGACCTGGGCCCTCCAGCCTGGGACTGCAGCAGTGCCCAGAGGGGACCTGCAGCCAACTCTAACCTGGGCTCTGGGTGGTTTCTGCTCCACGTGGGAGTTCCAGAGTTTCCAACCCCCGCTCAGAGCCGGGGGGTCGTCCCCATCTGTGCCAGCCTTTCCTGTATGATACACGGTGTGACCTACATCTGCTGTAATACGTAGGTGAGCGTATTCAAAGTATACAATTAAGATGACCGAGGCCGGGCGCAGTGGTTCACACCTGTCATCCCAGCAATTTGGGAGGCTGAGGCGGGTGGATCACCTGAGGTCAGGAGTTTGAGACCAGCCTGGCCAACGTGGCGAAACCCCGTCTCTACTAAAAATACAAAAACTAGCCAGACATGGTGACGCCTGCCTGTAATCTCAGCTACTTGGGAGGATGAGGCAGGAGAATTGCTTGAACCCAGAGGGTGGAGGCTGCAGTGGAGCTGAGGTCACGCCATTGCACTCCAGCCTGGACGATGGAATGAGATTCAGTCTCAAAAAAAGGATGACTGAAAACGGAGGGTACGCTAAGCCCTCTGGAGATTTTTCAGATATCCCCAGAGTAAAACAGACGACGGGATCCCCAGACGCTGCACATCAGCACCAGGAGCCGCACGGAATCGGCTCTCTCTGCCCAGTGGACACTGTCCAGGCCTGTCCCTCACCACTTTCTCCCCAGGAGACCCTGGGGGCTCGTAAACAGACCACAGGAGCAGACACCCTGTCAGCCTCACTCGTAACGGCCGCCTAATGGCCTCCCCTGGACAGGAAGCCTTTCACCCGGGCCCGGCTGCCAATCCACGAAGGCAACTGTCCCTCTCATGCTTCCTGGTACTCCCCTTGCTGGGCTGTCCCCACCCTTGCATCAAGAAGGGCCCCCAGGGAACGGCTGTCCCACATGCAGGTGCCCACTGGACATTCCGGCAACCTGGACGGCCTCCACCACCTCCAACGCCAGCCTTTCCTGCTGTGGGCTCCCCGCAAGCCACTGCGTGTGCAGGCCGAGCTGAAGCAGCTCCAAGCTCCTGCTCCCTTCGCTTCCTAGGAGACCCTGACGGCATCACACTGGCCAGAGGCAGGTGTCTGCATTCAAGAATGAGGCACCCGGAGGCCACTTCCCCGGCGTGGGCCTCCAGACAGTCCCAGGTGAGGAATCCAGCTCTGACACCAGTGGCTGAAAGACTGCGTGGTGGACCTGGAGAGACTCCCCAGCCTCAGGTTCTTCTGGCTCACTGGATTGTTATTATTATTTCTGAGATGGAGTCTCACTCTGTCACCCAGGCTGGAGTGCAGTGGTGCGATCTCGGCTCACTGTAACCTCCGCCTCCTGGGTTCAAGCAATTCTCCTGCCTCAGCCTCCTGAGTAGCTGGCACTACAGGCATCCGCCACCACGCCCAGCTAATTTTTGTATTTTTAGTAAAGACGGGGCTTCACCATGTTGGCCAGGCTGGTCTCAAACTTCTAACTCAAGTGATCCACCTGCCTCAGCCTCCCAAAGTGCTGGGATTACAGGTGTGAGCCACCGTGCCCGGCCTCCCTAGATTATTATGAGGATTAATGAGACACTGGACTTAAACTTCTCAGCCTAGGGCCTGGAAAGCTGCAGGTCATCAGGGTGACCAAGGGCTGAAAACCTCTCCTTGGCTGGGAATGGGGGATCAGGATTGGAGAGGCAGGAGGCACCCGGTGCCGCCCGTGTGTGAGAGAAGGGGACGAGGGACCTGCCGCCCGTGTGTGAGAGAAGGGGACGAGGGACCTGCCGCCCGTGTGTGAGAGAAGGGGACGAGGGACCTGCCGCCCGTGTGTGAGAGAAGGGGACGAGGGACCTGCCGCCCGTGTGTGAGAGAAGGGGACGAGGGACCTGCCGCCCGTGTGTGAGAGAAGGGGACGAGGGACCTGATACTTCTCAGCCTGGGTGAGGGGCCGTGCCGGGCTCTGAGCTCACCTCCCCCTTGGGCGTTGTCACTGCAGTCCGGCGGGGGTCGATGTCCTCGTTGATGCTGGACAGGAAGTTCTGGGAGATGCGGAGGGCATCCTGCAGCAGCGGGTAGTCGGGGTGGTCCACAGGTGTGTGCTTCAGCAGGTCCTGGGAAGGGTGAGGCGGTGAGTTGAGGGGAGCGGCTCTGGGGCCTGATGTGTGGCCACCGGGGAGTGCTCAGTCCCCATCCAAAGGGTGGGCACTCAGGGACCTGCCTAATTCCCGCAAAATCTGAACTACAAATCAGAGTCAGGCCGGGCACGGCGGCTCATGCCTGAAATCCCAGCACTTTGGGAGGCCGAGGCGGGGGATCTCTTGAGGTCAGAAGTTCGAGACCAGCCTGGGCAACGTGGTGAAACCCCATCTCTAGTAAAAATATAAAAATTAGCTGGGCGTGGTGGCGGGCGCCTGTAGTCCCAGCTACTCGGGAGGCTGAGGCAGGAGAATTGCTTGAACCCAGGAGGCAGAGGTTGCAGTGAGCCGAGATCGCACCACTGCACTCCAGCCTGGGTGACAGAGTGAGACTCCGCCTCAAAAAAAAAAAAAAAAAAAAAAAATCAGAGCCAGCACAGCAGGGGAGAGGGCCCTGGCTGCCCCCTCTTCTCCTGGCCACAGTCATACTCTCTCCCCAGTGTGGAGACCAGGTGGAGGCTCATCCCCCCGAGCAGCTGGGAGAGAAACCCTGTGTCTGCCCTGCAGCTGCTCCAAGGACACTGGAGACCAGGAGGCAGCGGGTGGGGAAGCAGGAATGCCTGCCTCCCCGGGAGCACCTGGCCACGTCAAGCTTAGTAGCCAAGCTGTATTCAGGCCCTAGCCTGGCGGCATGGATACCGCGGGCCAGACAGGCATCCTTGGAGCCTAGGAACCCCTGATTCCCCAGGTGGACTGTTCTCGGTGACTCCAGCACCCTCTCACCCAGGCTCAGTCTTCCACTGAACTCCTAAGCCCTCTCTGGCCATTCGGAGGCTTGACACTCACGTGTAGGACTAGGGTGCTCCGAGTGACCCGGTCAATGGGCTTGTAGAGCAGAGCTGTCGGGGGAGACAGGGAGAAGGAGGAAGAGGATGATGGACGAGGGCAACCCAACACCCCAGAGACCAGCTTCGTCCCCCCACCCGCATGCTTCCCACGTGAACACCCCTCGAGGGACACCAGAGTGAGCCCACGGCAGCCCCCACCTCTGTTCTCACTCCCCGGGCCGACCAAACAGCAGACACAGGTGACACACAGCCCTGGCAGCCCCTGCTCCCTCCGCAGCCCTGCCTCCTCTCCCATCAGACATGGCTTCATCGAGAGCCGCCCCGCCCCCCTCCCCAGGCCTGTCCTGGCCTCACCTGGCTCAAGGCAGATGCTCTCCTGGACCCCCAGCCCTGAATCACACAGCTCCACCCAGCCACGCCCCGAAGAGTCCAGCACACCTGCCACACGCAGGACCCCAGAATCACACAGCTCCACCCAGCCACGCCCCGAAGAGTCCAGCACACCTGCCACACGCAGGACCCCAGAATCACACAGCTCCACCCAGCCACGCCCCGCAGAGTCTAGCACACCTGCCACACGCAGGACCCCAGAATCACACAGCTCCACCCAGCCACGCCCCGTAGAGTCCAGCACACCTGCCACACGCAGAACCCCAGAATCACACAGCTCCACCCAGCCATGCCCTGCAGAGTCTAGCACACCTGCCACATGCAGGACCCCAGAATCACACAGCTCCACCCAGCCACGCCCCGCAGAGTCCAGCATACCTGCCACACGCAGAACCCCAGAATCACACAGCTCCACCCAGCCATGCCCTGCAGAGTCTAGCACACCTGCCACATGCAGGACCCCAGAATGGGGGAAGGAGACATGCTGTGTTTCCAGGAAGGGCAGCTCTCCAGACCTTATCATTCTCAGGCTCCTGGAGCTGAAGGCCAGGCACAGCCAGCTGGGATTGGCATGCCTCACTGTGATCCACAGGACTGGCCTCATCTCTCAGAGGAAAGACCCCTCCCCACATCCTCAAACCCCAGATAGCAAAGCACAGGAAGGCTGGAGGCAGGGAGGCTGGAGGCCAGGAGGCTGGCCTGATCTCCACAGAAAGGCTCTGCTCCCCGAGGCCAGCCTGGCCAACCAGTGAAACCCCATCTCTATTAAAAATACAAAAATTAGCCAGGCGTGGTGGCACATGCCTGTAATCCCAGCTATTTGGGAGGCTGAGGCAGGGAAATCACTTGAACCCGGGAGGCGGAAGTTGTAGCGAGCCAAGATCATGCCACTGCACTCCAGCCTGGGTAACAAGAGCAAAACTCCATCTCAAAAAAAAAGAAAAAAGGCTGTGCTCTCAAACACGTGGCAGCCTGAGGGGCAAAGGTTTCCTGAAGCAACTCAGGTTAGGCCTCACATATGAGAGCCCCAAAGAGGCTGGGAGGACGCAGGCAAGGCCAGCCCAGGCCCCCAAGAGCCACACCCTCCACAACCCGGACACCAAGTGAGGATGGCTGGGATTCAGCAGGGACAGGTGGAGGTGGCAGCTGGTGGATCAACACTTCCCAACACCCTTCCTGTACGCGGCTGCGCCCACCCTCCCAACAGGAGGCTCAGCTTCAGTCCTGCACCTGGATGCTCTGTCCCTGGGGTCATGACCTTGGGCCTCCTGCCGCAGGGGCAGTGACAGAGGCAGGTTGGTCATCTGGGAAGAAGGATCCCAGACTGGGTGTCCCATAAGACCAGGTTGTGACAGGTCCCAGCGTGAACACGCACGCCCTAGCCGGGCCCCAAACCTGATAGTTCTCCAAAGCCTGAGATATAAATACCCCGTGCGCGGCTAAGCAGACACTTCAGGGAGCAATCTGCTGGCTGTGAAGAAAATGCAGCCTCAGCAGGGCCACCAGCCTTACCCGCAGTCCGAGCTTGGCTGCCTGTCGGAATCACTGGGGGAGCGGTTAAAAGATACAGATGCTGCTCCCCAGCCCCGTCAACTCAACCCAAATCTCTGCAAGACCACAAGGGCCATCAGCATTTCTATAAAGCTTCTTTACTGATTTGAATGTATAATAATGGTTGAAAACCACTGCTTTATGTTTTATTTATGTATTTATTTTAATTTTTTTAAAAATATAGAGACGAGGGGCCGGGCAGGGTGGCTCACGCCTGTAATCCCAGCACTTTGGGAGGCCGAAGCGGGTGGATCATTTGAGGTCAGGAGTTCAAGAACAGCCTGGCCAACATGGTGAAACCCCATCTCTACTAAAAATACAAAAATTAGCCAGGTGTGGTGGCAGGCGCCTATAATCCCAACTACTTGGGAGGCTGAGGCAGGGGAATCTCTTGAATCCAGGAGGCAGAGGTTGCAGTGAGCTGAGATTGCGCCATTGCACTCCAGCCTGGGCGACACAGTGAGTCTTCGTTTAAATAAAAATAAATATAGAGACAAGGTCTCACTATGTTGCTGGTCTCGAACTCCTGGCCTCAAGCCAAATACAAGCTGGTCTCGAACTCCTGGCCTCAAGCAATCCTCCTGCCTCAGTCTGCCAAAAGTTGGGATTACAGGCATGAGTACCCGGCCAACCACTGGTTTACGTAAATACACTTCATATGACATATCTGTAGCCCTTTCTTATCTAGCAGTTTCCAGAGACCCTCCCCATGGGCCATGGAAGCTTGAAGGAATGAGGCCAGTCTTGGGGTATCCTCGGCACTGAGGGTGCAGCCCAGGTCCTAGCTCAGGTGGGATCCATTTCTGAGGCTGTTTAAGGCACCCACCTGTGGCTCAGCCCATCTTCAGGGGGAAAAAATCACACTGGAGAACCCCAGAGACCCAAAAGAAAGCACAAGCTCAGCAGACACCTGCCAGGGTGGGCTCCGGAGTGGCGGCTCCACAGAAAGCTGACACTGCATTATCGGCTCCCCGCAGCCCTCTCTTGGGTCCCAAGAGGAAGAGGTTTCTGACTAAGCTCAGAGGTCTGAACACATGGCAGGTTGGGTTTCAGAGGGGTTATTAACATGTCTGTGGTCACCTCCAGAGTCCACCTGAGTAAGGCTGTGGAATGAGCCCTGGAAGGGCGGCCAGGAGGGCAGGTGCACGGGGGGGGTGGGGGTGGGGGGGGTGGCGGCACTGGGACCACATCAGATACGGAGGGAACCGGGGGAATAAGAGCGGCCCTGAAGTTTGTGCTCCCCACGGCCCCTGCACGCTGGGGTCCCCTGAGAACTCAGGGTGAGGCACTCGCTCTGGCCCTTCCCCTGTCCCTGGGCTCCTGCAGGCTGGCCTGCTTCCTGCCCGGCCTCACCCACTCTCCCTCTCCACTGACACTGACTTGGGCAGCAAGCTGGTCTCTCTCTAGTTTGCTGGGTACTCGCTCTGTGCCCAAGGGTACTGAGTTAACTGCTTTGCTCTCATTATTTCCTGTGATTAAAACGGGAAGCAATTCTCACTAGCCCCATTTTACAGACAAGGCAACTGAGGCCAGAGACTTGTGGCTACAAGTGGTGGGAGCTGGGTAGATCCACCCGCACTCCTTGCTTTGAGCTGCACCTTCTTCAGGGAAAGGCAGCACCTGTAAAACCTCAATGAACCACAGGAGCGTTCTTGGAAAGAGTGACCAGGATGGGGTGAGCCCCCTCCTCACGAGCTGGCCCTTTCACTCCTCATTCCCCACTTTGAAGCCGACTTCAACAACAGTATCACGGAGACCGAAGCAACGTGAACTCCAGGTCCCAGGTCCGTTTCACTGAGTCGAAGCTTCCTTTTGGGGAAGGGAGAGGAAGCCAAGGGTACGTTTCCTTTTCAGGGAGGCAGAGTCAAGACCTGACCAACTCCTAGGCCAGACCAAAAAGACCATTTCTCCTCTGATCGCTGACCAGGCCAATTTCAAGTGAGAACAGGGTTCCTGCAGCCGCCCTGCTGGGCCGCAGGAGAGAGGCTGCCTCAGAGCTTGCTTCCATCAAGAGGGTCCTGAGAAGGTCAGGGGGCACTGGCCCCACACAGCCCCTCCAGCACAGCCGCCCCTGGGAAGGAGCCCAGGAAACCTGCCATCTCTCTTCCGGCAAGCCACCATCCCCCTCAAGTCAGCCTTCGACAAGGAGCTCCAAGGAGCTCCAGGTTACCAGGGAGATAGGAAAGCAAAGTGACTGAGAAGGGTGCAGAGCCGAAACACCTGGTGGGAAGGAAGAGGAAGGTCCTAAAACCAGCCGCCTGCTGCTCCCACAGACTCAGGCCCAGAGCAGCCGGCCTGGGAGCCACACGTGCCCACCCCACTCCCTGCCACAGGCAGGCAGGGCACCCCTTGGCACGTCTTGCCTCTTGAGGCAGGGTCCACGGGCTTCTGGACACCTCCCTACCTGGGCCGGCTTCATCCTCCTACGACCGACAGTCGTGTTGATGACATGCACCTGTCCCGGGACTTCCCCCCAGCCCCCAGCCAGCTGCGGGAGCTGCAAGGAGGATGGTCCGGGTCCCTTCCACCGAAAGGTGGTGTGTGTGTGTGTGTGTGTGTGTGTGACCTTCACAGAGTAGCTTGCCACACCCCTCTCCCGCTGGCCCTGCCGACCTGCCTTCCACAGTTGAGGGCCCAGACCTCGGCTGGGGGTCTCTCACGGCTGGAAACAAACCTCTCCTTCCTGCTCCCACAGCCCCTCCGTGTCCTCCGCCTACTGCTGCATGTGCGCGGAGCACACAATACCGTGCCGCCCAGCCTCCGCGCCTCTCTCCAGAAACAAAGAAACTCCCAACTTCTCCCTCTGGCTCGCGCTGGCACCCTCTCGGCTGGCAACGCCGCCGTCCGGACCATCGCCACCCATCGCCACGCTGTGCCTGGCCCCCGCAGACCCTCTCCCTGGCCTCAGGGCTACTACGTCTGCGGGCACAGCTCGTCGCCGTCTCTCCCTAACAGCCCCTCCAGGAAGTTCTCTCACACTAGCCCACCAATTCCCCACCGATCCTCGGGGCCACCTGGACCCCTCCAGCCTGGTCCTTCCATTTGCAAGCGGCCCTGCTCTGAGCAGCCCCCAGGTTTCAACTCTAGGCTGGATGCCGCCAAAACGAAGGGGGAATTCAGGTCCAGCCGCTCGCCCACCCTCCTTCCCTGCGGCCCTCTAACCTCCCCGGCCACATCTAAGCCCACTCCAGCCGGCCCCCAGAGGTGGGAGGGTCCGCCACCTCCCACAGCGAGCACCTGGGTTACCATAGGTGCAGTTACAGCAGAAGCGAATAATGAGGAGAATCTCCATGGCAGCCTCTGTCCCCGCGGCGGGAGCGTGCAGCCATCGCTCCAGGCTCCCCGGCGCCCACCAGCAGCCCGGCCACTCAGCCACCTTGCTGATGCTGCCGCACGGACTCCAGCATCGGGCAGCCGCTCCGGAGTGCTCTTCCAGCAAGGGGGAGGGGAGGGAGGCGCGTGGCGAGGAGAGGAGGGAAGGGGAAGGGGAGGAGGGGTAGGGAGGGAGGGAGCCAGCAGCCTGCTGGCATCCTAAAGAGGAGCACGTTTGTAGCTGGCTGGCTGCCTGGGCACGAGGCTAGAGTCCTCGCGTGCGCGCACACGCGCACTCAGCTCACACTCACACGCGCTCACACACGCTCACGCTCACACGCGCTCACACACACGCACACACAAGGGGAAGGGCGCCGCGTTCACGCAGCCTGTTGCCTGCACAGCCAGACAAAGGTAGGTGCCTGTAATCCAGCCCGCTCCCCGAGGTACCTTCCATGGTGACAGACGTGTGGCTGTCCTTGGAGTCCTTGGGACCTTTCACTTTGAGTTCCTGCCAAAGGGAGGAGAGGAGTCATGGCCTGTTCTGTCCCTCACCTCTCCCAGCCCCCACTGTGAGCCTGGCAAGAAGGGGAGTTCTGAAACTCAGGGTGTACATATGAGAACAGAGGCCGGGTGTGGCGGCTCACGCCAGTCATCCCAGCACTTTGAGAGGCCGTGGTGGGCGGATCACCTGAGGTCGGAAGTTCGAGACCAGCCTGGTCAACACGGTGAAACCCCATCTCTACTAAAAATACAAAAGTTAGCCAGGTGTGGTGTCAGGTGCCTGTAATCCCAGCTACTTGGGAGGCTGGGGCAGGAGAATCGCTTGAACCTGGGAGGCGGAGGTTGCAGTGAGCCAAGATCACACCATTGCACTCCAGCCTGGGCAACAGGGCGAGACTCTGTCTCAAAAAAAAAAAAAAAAAAAAAAAAAAAAAAAAAAAAAAAGAAAGACAAAGGAGCCCCATGGCCATGGGCTGCCTCTGCCACCCCAATCCCCTGCACCACACCTGTGAACTCCTGGAGCCTCGTGGAGTCCAGTGGCTGGGGCGTGGGCAAGAAGGAAGGGACTCCAGGTCCCAGAGATGAGAGAGGCTGGCAGGGAGCCCTGTGATTACAGGAACCCCGACTCAGGAACCCTACACGTCGGCCAAGGGCAGACAGGGTTTGAGTTGACCAGCGCCAGGTACTCCAGCCAATCTTTAGGGCATGAGGAACCCATGAGGTAGGAAGGAAGGGTCCCACACGCCAGCAGGGAAGTGGTGGACCTTCGGCAGAGATGCTGAGCTCCCCAGGACAGTGAGCTGCATCCTACCCCCATCAGAGAGCACTTACTCAGCCCCCAGCACCCCCGACACTCCCCACCCACCACTGCCCATGCTGGGGGTCCGAGAGGAAGCTTCGAGGGAGGAACAGCCAATGCCCCTCCTGGATCCCAAGCCAGGCAGCAGGTAGTGAGTACTGGAAAGACCCCCGGGATGACTCATCTGCTCCAAGCCTCTTTATCCTCCTTTAGAGACGTTCCAGCCCCAGCTTTTGCTAACAGGACAGTGCAGCCTGCAACTGGAGCTGTAATACCATCCCCACTTGGCAGACGGAGCACACGGAGCCTCAAAGAGGGGTGTGGGAGGGAAGGCAGGAGGCAAGGTGAGGCCACGGTCAGGTGCCCAGGTGATGAGGCCAGGGTCAGGTGCCCAGGTGATGAGGCCAAGGTCAGCTGCCCAGGTGATGAGGCCAAGGTCAGCTGCCGAGGTGATGCCACCTGCTTGGTCTGCAGGGGAGGAAGCGCTCAGACAGCAGGAACTTCCTACTTCTGTCTCAAGCTGTTTCTAGACAGAGAAAACTCCTGGAGATGGAGCTTGGGTGTGTGTATATTTTGGGGGGCGGGGGGGTGGGGGATACTCAGCGTCCCCAGCCTGTGTCTCTGGCTGGTGCCTGGACTCCCAGATTTCGGGAATGTTTCCTCACGCCCCCTCCAGTGAAGTCTAGGGTATGAAATCACTCCTGCTGCAGAGAGGAGCCTAATTGCAGTAATTAAGTGGCAGCCTCAGCAGGAAGCAAGCACGTCATCGAGTGAGTCAGGATGAGAAGCCACCTGGCAGAAAGCCAGGGGCCTGGCTCTGCCCTCCAGGGTGGGCAGGCTGTGAGGGGCTTATGGTTGGGTGTGGGGGTTTCTGCCTAGGCACAGAGAACAGGCAATCAGCCCAGGCCAAGAGAAGACCCCACACTCTCTGCACCATGTCTGACCCCGGGATCTTGGGCGGCCTTGGCAGGGCTGATCTGAACACAGACCAGGGGAGTCCAGGTAGTTCCTGGGTTGGGCTGGAAACCGCAGGGAAAGCACCATTTCTCCAGCCCCTTTTATTTGTATTTTTAATAGAGACGGGGTTTCACCATGTTTCCCAGGCCGGTCTTGAACTCCTGGGCTCAAGCCAATCTCCCGCCTCGGCCTCCCAAAGTGCTGGGATTACAGGCGTGAGCCACTGCACCTGGCCTCTCCAGCCACTTGACTCCATGGAGAGGGACTTCCCCACCCTGCACTTCGTCCTCCCAGGCAGAGGGTGACACATCTGCTCCATGGGTCTGGGAGAAGAAACTATGGTCAGCCATCCTCTCTCTGCACACTGGGTAAGAGGCGTGGGCTCTGTCCTCATTGTGGAGAGGGGCCTGTGTTTTCCTATTCCTGCAAGGGACTCAATAGATACTTTTTTTTTTCCAGACAGGGTCTCGCTCTGTCACCAGACTGGAGTGCAGTGGCGTGATCGCAGCTCACTGCAACCTCCACCTCCCGGGTTCAAGAGATTCTCCTGTCTCAGCCTCCCAAATAGCTGGGATTACAAGTGTGCACCACCACGCCCGGCTAATTTTTGTATCTTTAGTAGAGACGGCGTTTCGCCACGTTGGCCAGGCTGGTCTCAAACTCCTGACCTCAGGTGATCCGCCCGCCTCGGCCTCCCAAAGTGCTGGGATGACAGGTGTGAGCCGCCACGCCCGGCTTCTATAGGTACGTTTCATTCCAGAGGCGAAGTGTCAGCAAGCCCACTGTGGCTACAGATCCAAATCCACATTTTCCAAGCTGCATTTTTTTAACAGTAATGAAGGTGACATGTTCATCTCCAACTGTCAGCTTCTCTGCTGCCTCTCGGTGGATTCTAAACGTGGGCATCGACCGTCACCCCTGAAGTTTCAGGAAAACTACCCTGCGTTTCCCCAACTCTTCTAGCGTTAGAGCTGAGACGGGAACACAAAGGGCCAAGAGGGGCCTTTACGGCAGGACTCCCAAAACTGCAGAAGCTTCTCCCCTTTTCTAGGATGGAGGTTCTCTTGCCCTGAGCTGGGGGCTGTTCCTCTCAGGCCAGTGCTTCAGGGGTGCCACTGAGGTCTTTTTGGACAAAGGGATGAACTGGGCTCTGTCCTGAAGGATCCTAAGCAACTGTCCCTCCATGCCACCTCTTAGGTAGAAATGTTGATGGCAGATAGGACTGCACCTCTGCCCTGTGGAGGAGTGCGGGAGGAAGGCTGGGCCTCAGGAGCAGAAGCACGCGTGTTCCCAGCCAGGAAGGCTGGGCCTCAGGAGCAGAAGCACGTGTGCTCCCGGCCAGGTAGGCTGGGCCTCAGGAGCAGAAGCACGCGTGTTCCTGGCCAGGAAGGCTGGGCCTCAGGAGCAGAAGCACGCGTGTTCCCGGCCAGGGATTCTAAGGCTCCTTCTCCACATAAGTGGCTCTTACCCTTTTTGTGTTTATGGGATGGCAGTCTTAGAGTTGGCAAGAACCTTAAAAGACGACCTATAGTCCAAATTTCCTCAAGACTTCCCTGTCATAAATATTACCCAGAAGCTTGTTCAAATATAGAATCTTGGGCCCCACGCAAAGCCTTCTGAATCAGAAGCTCCGGGGAAGGTGCCAGGAAATCTGTGTTTTAAACAATGCCCCAGTGATTCTTATCAAGCAAGGTCAGGATTAGCTGGCCAAGCTGGACTCAGTGGCTCGCACCTGTAATGTCAGCACTTTGGGAGGCTGAGACGGGCACATCACCCGAGTTCGAGACCAGCCTGGCCAACACGGCAAAACCTCATCTCTACTAAAAATACAAACCTTAGCCAGGCGTGGTGGTGTGCGCCTGTAATCCCAGCTACTTGGGAGGCTGAGGCAGGAGAATCACTTGAACCCAGGGGGTAGAGGTTGCAGTGAGCCGAGACCGCGCCACTGCACTCCAGCCTGGGCGACAGAGCAAGACTCTGTCTCAAAAAAAAAAAAAAAAAAAAAAGGATTATCTGGCCATTTCTAAACCCCTCATTCTACCGGACAGGACATAAAAGCCAAGAGGGGGGACGTGACTTGCTCAAGGTCACCATAGTGTGGTGTGGGAGAACACTGCCTTGGATTTTTTTTTTTTTTTTTTTTTTTTGCCTCCCCTGTTCCTCTCTCTAATCTGAAAGAGAATAATAAAAAAATAAATAAAATAGATCGTTTTCTATTAAGAGGGAAAATGTCAGGTGCAAGAAAGCAAATATCAGGCTAAGTGTTACCCATTAGAGTAACCACTTCACCGACTGGCAAGCGAGGGAGGGGAGACCAAGGGCTCTGAGCAGCCCCCAAAGCTCCTTGTCCCTCAGGGTGGCTATGTGGGGAGCGGCCTACCTCTGAGATCTTCTGGAACTGGTTGTTGGACTGGCTGCACTTCTCAGCTGTCTCCAGAGCGACTTTATAGTTATCGACAAACGCTTTGTACACACCGAGCTGGCTGGCCTGCAGGGAGGAGTCAGGGAACAGAGGGAGAGGAGGGTGGGAGGGGAGAGGATTAATGAATGGATGAAAGCTTCACGGAGCACCGGGAGCTCCCCTGCACTGAAAACCTCTCACTCAGCTCGTTGGGAACTTGGGGAAACGCAGGGATGAACATATTACAGTGTCCCTTTGAACTGGACAGTTTCCATGGAAACCAGCTCAGCCAATAAGGTTAATGAGGGGGTCTGGGGTTGGGGAGACCAGGCTAGGGCCTTTGTTGGCCTGCTAGAAATTCAACTCTTCACAGCATCCAGCTTTCCTCAGCACGGTGAAGGTCTCCCAGGGTTTGAAATCCCTTAATGTCTCATACTTCCTTCACATCCTGGAATTAGCCGGAGCAGGGAGAGAGGGGGGTGTGTGTGCTGGGGGGAGCTGGCACGTGTGGCCTGCTCAGGCCTCCCTCCCCACGTGCAGCGTGGGGAACGACATTTAAAGGTGCTGTCTTGGCCGGGCGTGGCGGCTCACGCCTGTAACCCCAGCACTTTGGGAGGCCTGAGGTCAGGAGTTCCAGACCAGCCTGGCCAACATGGCGAAACCCCGTCTCTACTAAAAATACAAAAATTAGCTGGGCATGGTGGCGCGTGCCTGTAATCCCAGGTACTCAGGAGAATGAGGCAGGAGAATCGCTTGAACCCAAGAGGTGGAGGCTGCAGTGAACCAAGATCGTGTCACTGCACTCCAGCCTGGGTGACAGAGTAAGACTCCGTCTCAAAAAGAAAACAAAACAACAAATGAAGATGCTGTCTTTCCATTTCCCTTGGCCTTGAGGCCCCGTCCTCACCTCTTCCACCTCCTCTACCTCCAAGGAGCCAAAGCCCCAGCCTCACTACACGTTTGCCTGTCACTCACACAGTCACAACCTGAGTCACAACCACACAGAGCCTCGCCTCTTCTGAGAGGCAGGGCAGACCCCATCGCCCCTTTCTGCAAAAGGGGAAACCGAGGCTCCATAAGTCAATTCCCCAAATATTTATGGAAAGGCTTCGCTGCGCTGTATATAAGCACTTCCTCTTAAGGGACCAAAGGGTAGAAATTCAAATTAAAGCCATCACGAGATATTTTATACTCATCAGAAGGGTCAAAATTTAAAAGTCTAATTGACAGCAACGGCTGGCAAGCATATGGGGAAATTTAAACTCCCTGTTTTTGTTTTTGTTTTGAGATGGAGTTTCGCTCTTGTTGCCCAGGCTGCAGTACAGTGGTGCGATCTCGGCTCACCGCAACCTCCCGGATTCAAGGGATTCTCCTGCCTCAGCCTCCCGAGTAGCTGGCGTTACAGGCGCCCGCCACCACGCCTGGCTAATCTTGTATTTTTAGTAGAGACGGCGTTTCTCCATATTGGTCAGGCTGGTCTCAAACTCCCAACCTCAGGTGATCCACCTGCCTCGGCCTCCCAAAGTGCTGGGATTACAGGTGTGAGCCACTGCGCCCGGCCAATTAAAACTTTTTTTTTTTTTTTTTTTTGAGATGGAGTCTCGCTCTGTCACCCAGGCTGGAATGCAGTGATGCCATCTCGGCTCACTACAAGCTCCACCTCCCAGGTTCGCGCCATTCTCCTGCCTCAGCCTCCTGAGTGGTTGGGACTACAGGCGCCCGCCACCACGCCAGGCTAATTTTTTGTATTTTTTTTTAGTAGAGACGGGGTTTCACCATGTTAGCCAGGATGGTGTCGATCTCCTGACCTCGTGATCCACCCGCCTCGGCCTCCCAAAGTGCTGGGATTACAGGCGTGAGCCACCGCGCCCGGCCAATTTAAACTCTTAGACTACTCGGGGAAGTGTAAATTAGTACAATTATTTGGAGAGCAATTTGTTAATAACTAATAAAGCTGAGAATAGGCATGGCCTATTTTCAGTTGAACTAATAACAGTGTGGATAGGCACAGCCCATCGATTGCTTAGCAAATCCACTTTTACATACAAACTGCAGAGCCGTATCGTTCAGTGCAGTCGCCACCAGCTACCTGAGGCTACCAAGCACCTGAGATACGGCCGGTTCAAACTGAGACGTGCCGGACATGTAAAATACACAGTGGGTTCCAAAGCCTTAGTATGTAAAAGAGAATGTAAATTACCTCGTTAATTTTTAAATACTGATTACATGTTCAAATAATATTTGGATCTGCGGGAATAAATAAAAGATATTCTCAAAATTAATTTCACCTGCCTATTTTTACTTTTAAAAATGTGGGTATTAGGGGCCAGGCGCGGTGGCTCACAACTGTAATCCCAGCACTTTGGGAGGCCGAGGCGGGCAGATCACCTAAGGTTGGCAGTTCGAGACCAGCCTGGCCAAAATGGTGAAACCCTGTCTCCACTAAAGATACAAAATTATCCGGGCGTGGTGGCACGCATCTGTAGTCCCAGCTACTTGGGAGGACAAGGCAGGAGAATCGCTTGAACCCAGGAGGTGGAGGTTGCAGTGAGCCCAGATTGCATCACTGCACTCCAGCCTGGGTGACAAGAGCAAGACCCCGTCTCAAAAAAACAAAAAAAAGGTGGGTATTAGAAAATGTGAAATGATGTACGTGGCTCATAAGCTATTTCCATTAGACAGCAGTGCTCTGGAGCAAATGGCCTATGTGTGTGCCCCAGGGGACTCAAGGGTGTTCACCATCTCACTTTTCCTCCTCATAGTGGAGGGACTGGTAACAAATGCTCACAAACGGGGGAAGCCGCGCACACAGCCATGAACATGGATGCACCCGATTTACACATAGCATTGCTGACAAGCTCCAAAACGAACATGGGTTGAACTGTAAAATACGATTGCTGACAAGCTCCAAAACGAACATGGGTTGAACTGTAAAATATGATATATGTGTATACTTATACACTTTTTTTTTTTTTTTTGAGATGGAGTCTCGCTCTGTCAACCAGGCCGGAGTGCACTGGCACGATCTTGGCTCACTGCAAACTCCGCCTCCTGGGTTCAAGTGATTCTCCTGCCTCAGCCTCCTGACTAACTGGGACTACAGGCACGCACCACCACACCCGGCTAGTTTTTGTATTTTTAGTAGAGACAGGGTTTCGTCATATTGGTCAGGCTGGTCTTGAACTCCTGACCTCAGGTGATCCACCCGCCTCCGCCTCCCAAAGTGCTGGGATTACGGGCGTGAGCCACCACGCCTGGCTTAGACACATTTTTAAAGTACATGCAGCTGGGAGCTGTGGTACACACACCTATAGCCCTCGCTACTTGGGAGACTGAGGTGGGAGGATCACTTGAGCCCGAGTTCAAGTCCAGCCTGGACAACATAGCAAGACCTTTTTTTTTTTTTAAAGTACAGGCCAACCCAAAATAGATACAGATATGTAGTAAACACACAAACTGCAGTCTGGAAGGCTATCCACCAAATTCATGCCAGTAGCTGCTTCAAGAGGGAGGAGGGAGGGGAGACTCCACCTTCATGTGTGACGCTGTATTTTCTTCATTAGAAGGTTCTGCTGTTATTCTTTGGAGTTTCTGGTTTAAATGTTTTTCAATACAGCAGCAAGGGGGATACAGCTGCTGCCTGGCTTCCTCAGGGGCCTCTGCTTCCCACCAAGGTGCTGGGGGAAGTGGGCTGCTGTGGACCCCCACCCCGGACCACTCTGCTTTCTGCAGGATCCTCATGCTCCCCAAGGACCCAGAGAGGCTGGGGTGGGGGTAGGGGTGGGGGCAGGCTGGCCGCAGCATCGGCTGAGCCTGGAGCCTCCCAGTACAGAGGCAGAGCCCTTTGAGGAAGCTGGTGGGGCAGGGGAGCGGGGGGCATCTGGAAAAGCCAGAGGGGAGCGCGAGTGGGGACGCCCGGCGTGACGCCAAGGCCAGAGGCATTCAGGTCTCAGCTGCAGAAGGGCAGGACTTTAAAAGGGGGCAGGGCCGGACTTTTAAAAGAGGGCGGGGCCTGAGTTTTAAAGGGGGTGGGGCCTGACCTTAAAAGGGGGCGGGGCCGGACGGGAGGGAGTTTATTTCCTTTTCCAGGGAGTACTGAGGCCCGGCCCATCAATGCCCACGCTACACGAGGCATACTAGACAGTCGCTGCCTAAGCCAAAGTCAGATCACCGATATTCTTCCAGGAAAAGGCTCCTCTTGCCCCCTTTCCCACAAGAAGGAGAAAGCCTGGAGGCCCGGGTTGGCACACCACCCTCCCAGGAGCCAGGGGCAGGAGCCAGCCGTGCGGAGGCCTGCGTCCAGGGTCACGGTAATCTCAGGGACTGCCGCTGCCACAGTCACCCCAGGCGGTAGGGCCCGAGGCCTGGCTTGGCAGGTTCATTAACTGGGAAGTGCAGGTTGCCTGGAAACAGCAGCCTGGCACTGGAGTGATCTCATAAAACAAACAGCAGAGACGCTAATTCCCTTCTCTCAGTAACGAATAATCAAATACCCAGAGTCTTCGGCTGAAAATAAACCACCTCCGGATGCCAGACCTGACCCGGCTCCCCCCGGGCCCTCCCAAATCTGCAGCCCCAGGGGCCTCAGGCATCGGTTCACGATGCTGGGGAGGGAAAGTGGTGGGTAGCAGATTCACGGCCAGGCCTGTGGAGCCAAGACCAGAACCGGGGACAGCCAGGTCCAAGTGACAAAGATAAACTGTGACAGCGTTTCCAGCAACCCTAGGTTTGCTCTCCTCTACCCTCCTGAGGGATGAGGAGAGGATGCCCCCCAGGCCACTCAGCTCAGGTGAGCAGGCAGTGATGACAGGTGTTCACCATCCCTGAACCGGAGGGAGCAGGGGGGGGTATGCTAGAACCAGAGTGTGGCATTCCCTTGGAAGGATACCTTCCAGGGTGCCTCTTCCCAATTTAATAATAATAATAATAATAATAATAATAATAATAATAATAATGGCACTGATGATAATGACCAGTTATTGAGTACTTATTAATTTATGATGTTCCAGGCCCTGTTCCAAGCACTTTTTCTTTTACTTTATTGTATTCTATTTCTTTTTTTGAGACAGAGTCTTGCTCTTGTCGCCCAGGCTGGAGTGGAGTGGCACGATCTCGGCTCACTACAACCTCTGCCTCCCGAGTTCAAGCGATTCTCCCACCTCAGCCTCCCGAGTAGTAGCTGGGATCACAGGTGCGTGTTATCATGCCCGGCTAATTTTTGTATTTTTAGTAGAAACGGGGTTTCACCATGTTGGCCAAGCTGGTCTTGAACTCCTGACCTCAGGTGATCCGCCCACCTTGGCCTCCCAAAGTGTTGCTGGGATTATAAGCGTGAGCCACTGTGCCCAGCCATTTTTTTTTTTTTTTTTTTTTGAGACAGAGTCTCAGTCTGTCATCCAGGCTGGAGTGCAATGGTGTGGTTTTGGCTCACTGCAACCTCTGCCTCCCAGGTTCAAGCGATTCTCCCGCCTCAGCCCCCTGAGTAGCTGGGACTACAGGTGCATTCCACCACACCCTGCTAATTTTTTTGTATTTTTAGTAGAGATGGGGTTCCACCATGTAGGCCAGGCTGGTCTCGAACTCCTGACCTCACGATCCACCCACCCCGGCCTCCCAAAGTGCTGGGATTACAGGCGTGAGCCACCACGCTCAGTCAGGCCTATTCTATTTCTTTGTAGAGATAGGGTCTTGCTATGTTGCCCAGGCTGGTCTTGAACTCTAAGCCTCAAGTGATCTTCCAGCCTCAGCCTCCCAAAGTGCTGGGATTACAGGCGTCAGCCACCACACTCAGCCCCATGCAGTTTTCAGATATTAACTCCTCAAAATCACCCAATGAGGTAAATACTGTTACTATCCTGTTTTTTACAGATGAGGAAGCTGATTCAGAGCGGTTGGGTAAGTTGCCCAGTTGCAGGTTTAATCTGGCAGCGCTGGGATTCAAGCCCACTTTGTGACACGGCTCTAGAAGCTGTGCTGGAGAAACAGGACTCTCAGGACAGAAATCTCAGGCCCTGCAACGTCTCCCTCCATGCCCTTCCGAGTTCTCCCGAGGCCCAGTGGTCAAGGTCACGGTGCATTCACTCATTCAAGCAGTGACCACTGGGCTGGTTCTGGGAGTCTAAGAAGAAGGAAATGCAGGCCGGGCGCGGTGGCTCACGCCTGTAATCCCAGCACTTCGGGAGGCCGAGGCGGGCGGATCACCTGAGGTCAGGAGTTCGAGACCAGCCTGGCCGACATGGCGAAACCCCGTCTCTACTAAAAATACAAAAATTAGCCGGGTGTGATGGTGGGCGCCTGTAATCCCAGCTACTCGGGATGCTGAGGCAGGAGAATCACTTGAACCCGCGAGGAGGAGGTTGCAGTGAGCCGAGATCACGCCACTGCACTCCAGCCTGGGCGACAGGAGTGAGACTCCGTCTCAACAAAAAAAGGAAATGCAGTCCGTCCTCCTGGAACTTGTGGTTTGGGGGAGTCAGGCAGTTACTAGTGCTCACTACGAGGACTGGCACAAGGCCTGCATTTGGCGACTTGGAAAGCCTTCTTGGAGGAGGTCCCTTCTAAGCTGGGAACTGACCAGGGGAGGCCAGACGAGAGGGGGAAGGACGTTTCAGGCACACGGGGCCTCAAGTACCAAGAGTTAAGAAAGTGCCTGCCCTGGGAACTGAGAACAGAAAGTCCAGTGTCAGGAGCACAGAGGTGCGGGGAGGAAGCTGCCAAGGCTGGGGCTGGACACGGGTCAGTGTGCAAAGGGTCTCTCGAGCCATTCCTCGGAGCCTGACCTTCATCCGAGGGCCGTGGGGATCCGCTGAAGGGGCCGTCGAGGTTTCAGTGACTCTCTCCCCTCTAAGGAGAGGTGGGGGTGGGAGGTGAGTGGGCCTGGAGGCAGGAGCCACACAGGAGGATACGCAGCTGTCCAGGTGAGGGCCATGGGTGGCCAAGAAGAGGAAAAGGCGGCTGTGAGCAACGGCCAAAAAGTGGAGTCCACAGGACAGGTGGGGGAGGGGGTGCAGCCAGAAAGAGTCTGAAGCACTCGGTGAGGTAAAGACAGGAAGCGGAGCAGGTGACGCCGGAGGCAGGGAGCTCAGCTCTGAACACACTCAGCTAGAGGTCCTAGGAGTGTCCAGGCAGGAGAGGGAGAGTCTTCTCCAGCGTGAGAAAGGCAGAGCCCTGTCCATTCAGCCAGAACACGGCAGGGGAGGGGAGGAGGCCTCCAGCCTCTCACACCCAGAGAACAGGGCAGGAAGGAGGAGAAGGTCCTCTGGCCACTCACACCCAGAGAAGAACCGCGGCCTGGACTCCCAGTCTCCCTCTTGCCTGCTGGGCGGTCAGACGTTACGTAGCAGAGGTGGGGAGGGAGCTCCATGAGTCTGACCTGGGGGTCCTCCAGGGGACACAGCCAGAGATGGGGCAGAGCTGGGGGAGAGGGTGTCACAGAAGCACAGGGAACCAGAAGACTTCTGTGAACGTTTCCCAACACGAGGTCTGCATGTTAACCCACCCACTCCTGCCGCTCCCGACCCTGCAGTGGTGAGCAGGGCTGGGCTTCAGTGCTTCCTGCTCTTGGGACCTCAGGAGAGGATCATCGGCCAGTGTGCCCAACTGCTTCCTTTTACAGACCCGAGGTCTCAGGGGAGCAGTCCTCATGCCCCTAACCCGGCATGTGCCCCTCTGTTCACTGAGGGACAGGAGACTGAAGCCCAGCAAGAAGCCTTCATTCCAGGGCTGGTTCCTCAGAGCACCCTCCGGGAGAGAGAGGGAGCACCGTCCGGGAAAGACGGAGCACCCTCCGGGAGGGAGAAGGAGCACCCTCCGGGAGAGAGATGGTGCTCCCACAGAAGTGCCCATCCACACAGCCCATCTCCACCACCCCTGGAAGGACCTATCCACACAGCCTGTCTCCACCACCCCAGAAGCTCCCAGGGCTGCACCAGGGGAGGCCTAGAGTCAAGGCCCCGGCCCCAGGCACCCCATAACACACAGGCCCAGGCCTTCCTCCCGGACTCGGAGAGGTCTCAGGCCTTCAAGGAGTCCGAGAGGGCTGCCCGGTCCTCTCCTGAGGCTCCTGCAACACTATGGGCTCCACTGAGGCCCTGCGTGAGGACCCTCCATCCCTGGCAGACTCACCAGCTTCTGGAAGAGGTGGCCCATGGTGACCTGGCTGTCCCACTGTTGCACCTTGGGGCACAGGTTGTCATAGAACTCCTTGTGGATCTCATAGATGTCCTGGATCTTGTAGAAGATGGTCTCGATCTGCTGGATGGTGAGCACGGGCTGGGAGGTGGTGGCGGTGGCCTTCAGGGGTTTCATGGGCTGGGAGAAACAGAGGAAGAAAGAGCAGAGGTCGGGGGTAAACAAACCAGAGTGTCGGCAGGCCCCGGGGCCGATCGTTAGCCCTTCCCGCTGCCCAAGTCCTGCCCAGACAAGGCTGCCAAAGGCAGGGCACTGAAACGAGCTTTGTATCAAGGAGCCACTGCCACAGGCCCCAACAAGCCGCACACTCGACAGCAGGAACCTGGCCTGGCAGCTGTGCCAGGCCCGAGGGGTGGTGCCTGGGCTCACTCCCCTACCACGCAGCTGAGCTCAGCAGCAGCCTGTACTGGGTTAACAGGATCCGCGTCTTTCTTCCACGATAGCCTGTGCCCCGAGTCATAAGCTCCTTGTCACACTTCAGTGGAAGGGAGGGTTGACAGGGAACTCAAGCCTATAGCTGTTTCCTTCCAAGAAACAGAATGTGGTTCTAGGACTCAGAAGGTAGGGACCCGAAGTTACTCAAGACCAGTCTTGGCCTCACTGATGTTCCAAGTTCCCGTCACTTGGCACAGGGAGAGGCATGGGCGTTCACGTGTCCCCCACTGCAGCCCACCCCCGTGGCAGACATTGCTAAGCGACCGTGATGGTCCTTCCCACTGCGCATGGCAGGGGTCTCCAGTCTCAGACTCTTTCTCAATGCCTGCCTGTCTATACCAAGATGCTCCAGGGCCTGCCAGTGTAGACGGTGAGGTGGCAGATAACACAGACCAACCCCCAGCACTGGCCGGGAGCTGATGCCATCACCTTCCAGCCTAGCAGTGGGACCGTGGGATAACGGGACGTGCAGGCATTTCCTCAGTGTGGTTCTCTGCATTTTATAAATCACCTACAATGAATGAATATGAATAATCAGAAAAAAAAAAACCAAAGATGACCAGGCTGTACTGCAAAGGCCCTGCAGGACACAGGGCCTGATAACCTGCCATACAGGGAAGGTGTGGCAGGGAAGGGCAGGGTGGCCAGAGGGAGAGCAGCCACGTCGAATTCTTTTTTTTTTGGAGACGGAGTCTCGCTCTGTCGCCCAGGCTGGAGTGCAGTGGTGCGATCTCGGCTCCGCCTCCCGGGTTCACGCCATTCTCCTGCCTCAGCCTCCCAAGTAACAGGGACTACAGGCGCCCGCCACCACGCCTGGCTAATTTTTTTTGTATTTTTAGTAGAGACGGGGTTTCACTGTGTTAGCCAGGATGGTCTTGATCTCCTGACCTCGTGATCCACCCACCTCGGCCTCCCAAAGTGCTGGGATTACGGGCGTGAGCCACCGCGCCCGGCCAGCCATGTCGGATTCTGTTGATGTTCTTCACCTACCTGAAGGCCACGTGGAAAGAGGCTTAGACTTGGCTGGTCACGGTGGCTCACACCTGTCATCCTAGCACTTTGGGAGGCCGAGGCAGGTAGATCACCTGAGGCCAGGAGTTCGAGACAAGTCTGACCAACATGGTGAAACCCCGTCTCTACTAAAACTACAAAAATTAGCTGGGCGTGGTGGTGCACACCTGTAATCCCAGCTACTCAGGAGGCTGAGGCAGGAGAATCTCTTGAACTCAGGAGGCAGAGGTTGCAGTGAGCCAAGATTGCGCCACTGCACTCCAGCCTGGGTGACAGAGCCAGACTCTGTCTCCAAAAACAAAAACGAGGCTTAGACTTAATCTACGTTGCTCTGCAGACCCAGGAACAGTGGGGAAAAGTTATGGGGTCAGATTCGGGCTCACTAGAGCTGTCCCCCATAGGATTAAGTAGTGAGCTTTCCGACAAGAGAAGCATTCTAGCAGAGAATGGGTGACTCCACTGCTGAAAATGCTGCACTGAAGGGAACACCAAAGCCAGCGCCAGCTCCCTCTGAACGACGACCACCAGCTCCAGCCAACCACGGCAAACTCCCAGCCCAGCCTCACTCCAGCCTCACATCACCTCATTCTGATGAAGTCTCATCTACTCAGATATATCGCCTCACTCTGATGGAGACAGAACCCATGTTCACTGGAAGAAGTCGTCTCATCTACTCAGACACCCAGATGGTGCTCTGCCTTCTGGCTCCTTCATCCTCCGAGCTCTAAAAAGCCCAGATCCAACAATCCATGCAGGACAAAGCAGGACCCTCCTTCTGACCCTCGCCGCGCTAGAAACAACGGCCCCTCAGTGTCCAGTCAGGACTCTCCTTCTGACCCTCGCTGTGCTAGAATCAATGGCCCCTCGGTGTCCGGTCAGGCCCCTCCTTCTGACCCTCACCGTCCTAGAACCAACGGCCCCTCTGCGTCCGGTCAGGCCTCTCCTTCTGACCCTCGCCGTCCTAGAACCAACGGCCCCTCGGTGTCTGGTCCTTGCTAGGCAAGCGCATGGGGTTCCACCTGGTGCAGGCCAGGCAGGGTGGGCTTGAGTCGCAGCTCTGCTGTGCGCACATCACTCAGCATCCCTGGGCTTCGTGTCACCAGCAGCCTCATGTGTGAAACTGGGATAATACAGCCATGCGCTACCTACTGGCATTCCCGTCAGTGCGTACACGATCATGGTCCCAGACTGCAATTTTTTTTTTTTTTTTTTGAGACAGAGTCTCACTCTGTCACCCAGGCTGGAGTGCAATAGTGCAATCTCGGCTCACTGCAACCTCCGCCTCCCAGGTTCAAGCGATTCTCCTGCCTCAGCCTCCTGAGTAGCTGGAATTACAGGTGTCCACCACCCCGCCCAGCTAGTTTTTGTAGTTTTTGTAGATATGGGGTTTCACCATATTGGTCAGGCTGGTCTCAAACTCCTGACTTCAAGTGATCCACGTGCCTCGGCCTCTTGAAGTGCTGGGATGACAGGTGTTGAGCCACCATGCCTGGCTGAGACCTTTATAATCCAGTTGGGCAAAATGGGCCAACACAGATGAAATGACTATGGACGATGCGACTGACTGTAAGCACCAACCACATGGTTCCAAGGTTGTGCTGGAGTAGCCTGGAGGGCTGCATGGAGGAGGCACACATACCAGGTCCTTGGAGAGCTGAGCAGGTGGAGGAGTGGGGGCGTAGAGAGGCATGCCAGACAGGGAAACAGAAGGCACCGGGAGGCAGGAGCAAGGGAAGAGTGTCCCCCCAAGCCCAGGTGGGTGAGCTGAAAGCTTTGGGGACTCCCCACCCTCCATGAGGGACATGGAACTAGCTTCAGGATTGACATCGTCGTAAGAGTTTATCCTTTTCACCTCAACGCAGGACCCCACGGAGGAGCCCGCAGAGTCGCCACAGAATCCCCATACCCAAGAATTCTTGTCCCCGCCTTGGCGCAGTCCCCACTGAGGGGGAAATAAGGGAAGCAGGAAGGTCAGCAGTCCCAGGAAGGCCAAGGAGACGGGATTTCTCAGAAGCCGCGACGCGCTCATCTGCCACCCACACGAAGACAAAACACAATGGTTATGCTTCCTCCTCAACTTCCCACCCCGTCTGCAAAAGGGGAAGAAATGGACGCTCACCCACAGCCAGTCACAAGGACGGGGCCTGCGCTTGGGGCATCAGATGGTTCTCATGACACGATGGGGACCTTGGCTGTTACTCCTGATTTCACTCGCGGGGAGGGGACAGGGCTGGGTGTGTGCCCTTGGCTGGCCAGGACCCTCGAGGCCGTTATTTGTCTCTGGTGAAGTCCTGCGTATGGGCTCAGGGGCAGGAGGGTGGACTGAAAGGCAAGGTGACCCACACTGAGCTTCGGCACGGCACAGCCATTCTGCCAAAGCGCTAGCACACCACTCAGGCACCCCCTCCTCCCCAGTCCTGCTGCAGGGACAAGGGCAGGCCCCGGCTCTCCATTTCACCACTCGAGTTCTCGGAGAGGACCCGTGAGTGACTTCAACCCTGGCTCCCATACCAGCTGCTTCTCAGGAAGACGGGCCTGGGCCGGTTCTCACTTGCCAGTGGGACTTCACATAGCCGTTTGTCAGCTCTGTCCCCCAGCGACCGGCCTTTCGAAATAAGGGAAAGAAATGTACCCACTTCCTCCACCTCCTGCCCCAGAAGGCCTGGCATGCTTGCTGCCATGCCACCCGAGTCACTCGTCACTGGAGCCCAGGGAGGAAGGCCTCATTCACCTGTTTTATAGATAAAGAGCCTGCGATGCAGCGTGGCCAGGAGTCCACCCCAGGAGGGCCAGTCGTGGCCAGCGGTGGGAGGGGCTCTGGGGAGTGGCCTCACCCTGTGGCCCCAGCGTAGCAAGACACAGTTCCCAAGCTCAGTTCCCAGTGTCAAGGAGATCCAGAATTTCAATGCAGTTGGCTTCATCTTTTTTCCTTCACCCCCTACTTCGGCCCAGGCTCCCAGGCTTTTCCTGTAATCAGAGCCCACCAGGAAGCAGGAGGGCCCCAGAAGATGACCCCCACAAGCACCCCAGAGGCCAGGACGGAGGCTTCTGTGTGGAGGCTCGTCTGCCCCGTGTGTGCACATGGTTTTAGGTACACACACCCAGCCCTTTGCATATCAGGAAGTGTTCAGATGAAAGCAAACAGGCTGGGGCAGAGCGGTGGGAATGGGGTCAGGAGTGGGAAAGCGAGCATGGAGGGAACGAATTTCTTCTCCTTCAAGCTGGCACCTTTGCGAGGCCACCCCGAAGAGCAGAAGGTTTAGCTTCCTCCTAGCTGAGGGGTGGGGAGGGTGCAGGGGTTCCCAGCTCAGGGAGGAGAGGAGGAAGGGTGTGATTCTTTCACTCTGAGGTTTTCTTCTGAGGCTGTGGCTGTGGAGGGTCCTACTCCTCTTCCTGAGCCCTCCTACCACAGACCTGGCCTCCCAGCGAGTTCTTCCTTTGCTCCCTCTGGTCTCTGCTCAAGAAAGAGCCAAGCAGGGGCCCAGGAGGAGAGAGCTGGGGGAAGGTGGGGAACCCGCCCCGGGAGGAGAGAGCTGGGGAAGGGGGGGAACCTGCCCCGGGAGGAGAGAGCTGGGGAAGGGGGGAACCTGCCCCGGGTGGAGAGAGCTGGGGGAAGTGGGGGAACCTGCCCCGGGAGGAGAGAGCTGGGGAAGGGGGGAAACCTGCCCCAGGAGAGAGCTGGGGAATGGGGGAACCTGCCCCAGGAGGAGACAGCTGGGGAAGGGGGGAAACCTGCCCCGGGAGAGAGCTGGGGAAGGGGGGAACCTGCCCGGGGAGGAGAGAGCCGGGGAAGGGGGGAACCTGCCCCGGGAGGAGACAGCTGGGGAAGGGGGGAACCTGCGCCAGGCATATCAGGAAGGGGGCCCCTGCCCCACAGATTCTGCCTTTGGGGCATGAGCTGTTAGAAAGGCAGAGCAGGGAGGGGCTCTTGGTCTTGGCCCAGAGGAAGAGGCTCGTGGGTGGCAGGTGGGATCTAAGGGCTCCGTGTCTGATGG